>NC_000001.11:243305333-243456848 GCF_000001405.40 Homo sapiens
ATCACTAACTGCTCTTATAGAAATTATGATATTCAAGTAAAATAATGAAAATAAAGCACTTTAGTTTTCAAATTATTAGTATTTTTTCTCTGTAGATAGTCTTCATCTAATTTTAAAATTGCAATGATAATATAATAGTTTGAGTATTTGTATACATGATGAATTTGAGTATATATGATGAATATTCATGTACTTTTTATAGAATCTATTTATTAGAGATCCCAGTAAGACCTATATATTATAGATTAACCATTAGTGATTTATGTATAATGAGTAGAAAAAGACAGCAGGAATTAATATTTTTGTTGTTAAAGATTATTTTTAAATAGTAGTAATGAAGTAATTTTAAATCAAATAAACTTTGAAATATTGTTTATAATTTTATTTTAATAAGTCCAATTTGAAATTTTAAAATCTTCCAGGCCATAGCCTATCTAGAGACATAACTAGAGTAATACTAAGAGCCAGAACTCAGCTGATTGTGGTGGCTTACGCATGTAATCCCAACACTTTGGGAAGCCAAGGCGGGTGGATCATTTGAGGTCAAGAGTTCGAGACTAGCCTGGCCAATATGGTAAAACCCTGTCTCTACTAAAAATATAAAAATTAGCTGGGTGTGGTGGCACACATCTGTAGTCCCAGCTACTCAGGAGGCTGAGGCAGAATCACTTGAACCCAGGAGATAGAGGTTGCAGTGAGCCAAGATCATGCCACTGCACTCCAGCCTGGGTGACAGAGGGAGACTCCATCTAAAAAAAAAAAAAAAAAAAAAAACCGAGCTGGAACTCATAGCTTTCACTGTACATGGTTGTTTATTTTTTAAATGTTCTTATGTTTTTCATAGATTACCCTGATTAGTTTTAGGATTTCTCTTAGAGATTTTTACTTTTTTACAAAGAAATGTTAACATTTAAAAAATACTCTAATTTTTGCTTTCTTGTTTTTTGTCCTATTTTATTTTATTTTGATTTTATTTACGACTTGATTCTTTAGTTTTTAAAGTGATGTATTTCTAGATCATTGTACTTAAGGGAATGTGACTTATTTTGTCTCATTCAGAATCCAGATATTTCATCTTTAATTACATTAAAATACCAACTTGTAATGAATTAGACTTTGTTCTCTGAATCCTTCTGTTTCTTCATTTTCTTTTACTATAATTTAAGATTATTTAAAGAGGCATTTTCATAAATAAATAAAATCAGTCTTCTTTTCAACTTTCTTTTTAACTTTCTCTTTTGCCATTTCTAGTAACCAAATCTACTTGAGTGTTTTGAGTTTGGAGCTGACCAAAATTAGTAATGGGGACCCTTTGACTTTGGAATGTGCTTCCCAAGTTCTTTTTATAAAGCCTTTGAAAGTCAGACATTCCCTACATGATATTGAAAAAGAAAACTTATCATCTTGGTGTTATTATTTTGGGGATAGGGTAGACGCAGCTCATTTTTCTTCCCCTCAACTTTGGAATGCCATTCCAAAGTTTTTTTTTAACCCTTAGATTGCCTGTGGGTCTTTTATGCCTCTCCTGCGTTGCTTGAAAGCCCCCAAAATCTCAACAGTTGTCTGACAGCCAGGCTGTTGGCTTCTCCTCTGTGACAGTGAGCCAGTTAAGATGGCCACAGCACCTGAGCGTGGAGACTTTGACAATGACAACAGAGAGTAGACAGAGATGGAGATAAAGTTCCTGCCTTCAGTAGTCTCATTTTTCAGCTAGAAAGTTTTTTTTTGTTTTTTTTTTTTTTGAAGTACAAAAGAACCATCTAGGCAAGGAAGCTCAGTTGCCAAGGTGACTTTAGCGCAGCTTTACTGGGATAAGGTAGGAAAATACAACCCATGTACTAGTCAATTAATCCTTAAAAAGTCACCTTGGAGAAAAACCTCATCCAGAGGTGAGCTGATAAAGTAAAAACAAACAAAAACTACACCCACACCCACACCACCCCCACCCCCACCATTCCCCAGCCCTTTCTTTAGCAGCCTGTATGTTTCCAGCTAATAGCTACTACCCCTGAAATCTTATGACTGGCAAGTTCTATGTAACTTCCTTCTGTAACTTACTTTCTTTTGAAACAGATCTTTGTAGAAGTTTGTCGTTAGATAATTATCTATCTAACAGTAATGTTTTCCTCCTGAAGAAAAATGGGCAGTAATAAACTAGTCAAGGATAAAAATCCATGTTTTTTTATGTGAACTTTTAAGACACTCTAAAAATTTTAAGAGATTAATGCTTGAAATAGGGTATTTTCCTCACCTCAAGTATGTTGTCTTATATTACCCCACCCCTTTTTTAAGGAAAATGATTTGGGATTTATATTTGGAGTTTTATTTTTGTTTTGTGGTTAATATAACATTAATGGAGGTTGGATCCTGGGACAAGAGAGCCAGTGTCAGGCGGATTCTAATCTATATTAAAATCTTACAAGAACCTAAGCTAATTATGTAATTTATTCCAGTCTCATCATATTCAACGTGTCAATTAGAATCACCACACCAAAGTTTCAGGGTCGTGGTAAAAATTAATAAGGTATTGGACGTAAACTAAAGCATAAGGTGAGTACCCATAAACGATAGTAGTAGTTAACATTATGATGATTCATTTTAAAGTCATGTAATTTTACCTGGCCATTTTCTAGAATTTTTTCACCCTCTTTTTAGGAACGACTTAGCTGAATATCAGAGAACTTGTGAAGATCTTAAAGAGCAACTAAAGCATAAAGAATTTCTTCTGGCTGCTAATACTTGTAACCGTGTTGGTGGTCTTTGTTTGAAATGTGCTCAGCATGAAGCTGTTCTTTCCCAAACCCATACTAATGTTCATATGCAGACCATCGAAAGACTGGTTAAGTAAGTATGCTTCTACGCGCACGGAGACTTTGGCAATATGGAAAATTCTGCCTTTAAAGGGGCATTGTGTTCTTCTAGCCCTATGCTAAGTCACATGTGATTATTGTTAATCTTCAAATACAGTGGATTTTAAAAGGTTCCTTCATTATAGCTTCCTTGAAGACAAATGGGTGGGTTCTGCCATGTCACCATGTCACTTTGAACAGAAACCATGCCACTTTGAACAGATAATAGTATCTCTTGGTTTCAGTCCATCTTCAAGTGAGAGAATTGAACTAGACAGTTCTTTACGATTCTGTCCAGTTCTATGAATCTATGATTACAAATCTAATACTATTCTTAGCAAAACTGAGTGTAATAGAAATTCCTTTGGTTTTGCCATATCTTGGATTTTTCTGCTGTACTTCAGGTAGAATGAGTTATTACCACATCTTCATCATGTGTCTGTTGTAAGGAGTATTATAAGGACCCACTGTATCCCACTATTGATATTTGAGGGTTAACTGAGAACAAGTTACAGATGACCTTTTGTGTTGTCCAAGTTTTCGTCTAAGCTGAGTGAAACAATTCTCTTCGTACATCTGTTTTGTTGTTTTCACTATTCCAGAGGAGGCCTTTTCCTGTGAAAATTTTATTCTGTGGAAATTGAGAATTATTATGTAATATAGAACCCAGTGGCAGTTTATAGTGTATGTTCTTCCATGCCCCCTACTTTTCTTTGTGCTCAGTGTCACCTCTCTCTATCTGCTGTGCTCACTTAAATAACCCCAGATCACTTCCTTTTAGAAGAAGTCTCTCATCAGCTCTGCCCCATTTTGTCCTCAACTGACTTAGGTTCCTTTCTTCTGTGGTCATTAAGGTCAGACCGATTTTGCTCCATGTCCTGACCTTCAACAAATTCCTTTTCTTCTCTGAGCCTGGCATCTTCTGTTGTTTGGAGGAAAATACCTGCTTCTTCAGATTTAAGACCTTTTTGGGATTTTACTAAGGCAGGTTAGCCTGTGACCAGAAGTACTGCTTTTGAAACTGACTGCTTGGGTTCATATTCTGGTTCTACTGCCAACTTACCATGGAACCTTGCAAAAGTTACTTAACCTTTTTGTGCCTCAATTTTCTCATTTTTAAAATGGTGACATAAGTACCTAACTCATAGAGTTACCTTGAGGGGTCACTAGAGAAAACCTATATAGTACTTAAAACACTTCCTGACATATAGTAAATGCTCAGTAAATATTAAAACCATTCTGTACCTTCTATACTCCCAAGAATGATCAATATGTCTTCTAGCTGTGATTTCCACACATGGCTAACTCACTCAGGTTGGGGGTGAGTTGCTGTTGTTTTCGAGTTGGGGTCTCACTCCTTTGCCAAGGCTGGAATGTAATGGCACAATCATAGCTCAGTGCAACTTTGAACTTCTGTGCTCAAGCGATCCTCCTGCCTCAGCTTCCTGAGTAACTGCGGACATGTGCCGCCACACCCAGCTAATTAAAAAAATTTTTTTTGGTAGAGATGGGGTCTCACTATGTTGCCCAGGCTGTTCTTGAACTCCTGTGATCCTCCCACCTCAGCTTCCCAAAGTATTGGGATTATAGACATAAGCCACCACACCTGACCTAACCTACTAATTGTTATATGAACATAGAATTTCCAGTGTGGACTGACTGGTAGTTTTTTATGTTTGTTTGTTTTGTTTTTGTTTTTTGAGACGGAGTCTCTCTCTGTTGCCAGGCTGGAGTGCAGTGGCGCAATCTTGGCTCTCTGCAACCTCTGCTTCTCGGGTTCAAGTGATTTTCCTGCCTCAGCCTCCCGAGTAGCTGGGACTATAGGCGCCCACCACCATGCTTGGCTAATTTTTGTATTTTTAGTAAAGACGGGGTTTCACCATGTTGGCTAGGATGGTCTCGATCTCTTGACCTCATGATCCACCCGCCTTGGCCTCCCAAAGTGCTGGAATTACAAGTGTGAGCCACCACGCCCGGCCCGACTGGTAGTTTTTATGACCTATACTGCTTGGTTCTGTTTTTGTTAAGTATTTTAAGTATTCAATATGTTGTTAATTTATTCATATAGTCTCAATATAACTATTAAACATGTATTAACTATTTTCAGATACAACTAAAAAATGTAGTAAACATTTATTATATGTCAACGACTGTGCTAGGAGATTTAAGAACATCATTTTTAAAAATCTTCAAGCGTTCATGAGGTACATATTATTACCCCCGTTTTATAGCTAGGGAAATTGGGGTTCAGAGAAGTTAAAAATTTGCCTGTTTATATTTGAAAAACAAGAACAGAGCTGTACCTTACAAAAATAAATTCATGGTAGTTTAAAGGCTCAGATACAATTCAGACTATAAAAGCATTAGAAATAAATATAAAAAATATCTTATAATTGTGGGTTATAGTCCTAAGGATGACGTGAAAAGTGGAAGTCATAAGGGAAAAAAAGATACATTTGTTTCTATTAAAAAATAAATTCCCTTACAATAAAACATTACATATTCAGTTAAAAGGCTGAGAAAAAATATTTGCACTATACATGACAAAAGACCAATAGAATAAATTTCCTTTGAAACAAACAAAAAGGACAAGCTGCCTAGTTGCAAAGTAGGTAAAGAATAGAAATCAGTGAGCAATAAAAGAGGAAGATGTCAGCATATGAAAATGTATTTATTCTATTAGTATTTGAGGAAATACAATAAAAAAATTAAAGAACAACCCGTCAGACTGACAAAATAGAACAAGATTGATAATTTCAAGAGTTGGTGAGGTCATGAGTACACAAGTATTTTCACTCTGCTGGTGGGTTCATAAATTGGTGGAAATACTTTGGAAGTAAATTAGTCCTGTCCATTCATATTCAAATTGTGCACTTCACTTTTCAAAATCTACCCTCAAGAAAAAACTCAAGTACATGCATAATGGGGTATGTATAGGGAATGCTTTTTGCAGCATTGTTTATAATTATGTGAACAACCTAAATATCGTTCAAAGGAGAGTAACTAAACATGGTTTAGATAAACTATGTCATTTTGTGCATAGTATGAAAAACGGAAGTAGTTCTATGTGTATTAATGTTGGACCATCTCCAAAATATATTGTTGCAAGAAAACAAAACAAAATGGCTAAAGATAAATCTAGTATGAAACCTTTTGTATTTTTTAAGTCCATATACAACCATACTACATTTTTCCCCTTCGAGGTTCATAGATATGCACAGAAAAATATTTGAAAGTGTAAACACTAAATATTTAACAGAGATAACCACTAGAGAGGTGGACGAAGGCAATGAAATTGAAAGGGTGTCAAATAGGCCTTTAACAATATTGGTAACTAATTTTGCAAGGAGAATATAATTTAAAAATTAATTTTAGAAAGAGGAAAGCATATTAAAAGTTGCAAATAAAAAGAGGCAGAGCTTAAAACTAGGTAGTCTAGCAAAACTAATAAGCCAGGCATAGTGGCTCATGCCTGTAATCCCAGCACTTTGGGAGCCTGATGCAGGAGGATCACTTGAGGCCAGGTGTTTGAGACCAGTCTGGGCAACATAGGGAAACCCTGTCTCTACAAAAAATTTAAAAATTAAAAAAAAAAACTCAGCCAAGAAATAACAAGTTATTATGTTGCCTTTTATATTATCCTTCTAGATTATGAAAAAATATTTTTAAAGGAAGCTATAATGTTTTGGTTACTTCCAAGCCTGGCAGTCATTCAGAAATTAAGATTCTTGATCAGTTATGTATTCCTTTGTCTCTATCCTAAATTTGAGCTCTTAGCCTCTTAAAGTAAATGTCAACCTACTTAGTTCAATTTTCTGCCTTGTCAGCATATCATTGTCTCATGTTCTGCATTAATGACAGAAAGGATATTAAACCTATTAACACTGAGCGGATTCTGCTTTTATTGTCAATGAATTCTTCTTCTGTATCATTCTCTTGGCCTAACTTAACTAATGCAGAGTGCTGAATATTGAGTGCTATGCTAACTTTGAAGAGTGTCCAGCACCTTTTGGGTTTGGATTTCTAGTTTTATGTATAGTTAGAAGCCTGCCCCCTCCATAAGCTGTTATCATATTACCTGAATGACTTTAACATGGAATGTTTAAAAATGATACCTTAAATATGATAAATCAAAAGTTTCCTTGTAAATGTGGTATTGTGACAGCAGCTTTCAGCTCCTTTGTTGCATCCTTTAGCATTTACTATTTTGAATATATATTCATGAAACAAGAATGGCTTGATGGCCAGGCATGGTGGCTCACACCTGTAATCCCAGCACTTTGGGAGGCTGAGGCAGGTGGATCAGTTGAGATCAGGAGTTTGAGACCAGCCTGGCCATCATGGTGAAACCCCATCTCTACTAAAAATACAAAAATAGCTGGATGTGTTGGTGCACGCCTGTAATCCCAGTTACCTGGGAGGCTGAGGCAGGAGAATTGCTTGAACCTGGGAGGCGGAGGTTGCAGTGAGCCAAGATTGCGCCACTGCACTTCAGCCTGGGCAACAGAGGAAGAACCTGTCTCCAAAAAAAAAAAAAAAAAAATAATGGCTTGTACAGTTGACAAGGAGGGGATCAGGCATGACTTGGAGACCAGGCCACCCATATGTTTCTGGTGGTTTCTTAGGACTCAAGGACTTTTTGGAGAATATACTTAACAACTATTGATGACATTGGATATATTTTTTATGTTGATTTGAAGTCTTCATATTGTTTCCGACCTTTCGCCTTTCACTTGGCCTCTTTATGCCATAAGGGAGGTAAGAGTAACAGTAACCTCTTTTTCTTGCTTAATGATCAAAGTACCTTCACATGGTAACCAAGATGGAACTGCTTAAATTCCTTTCTGTAGCTCACAGTACCTTGGAGAAGTTTATACTTTTCAAAAAAGAGAAAAGATTCCAAGGGTACTTTTCTGGGGCTTTAGTCCAGCTTGTGATTTTGGAGTGGATCATTGGCCTGCTCTGCATAGCTGGCTTTAAAAGACTACAGCAGGAACTTCCCAGAAATGAGGAACAAAGAAATGTTGTAGTCAGCCTTCTAGACTTTCTTTTTAAAAACGGTGTAGTAACACTTATTAGTGATACCTAATAATGCTTAAAATTAATAATAACTGGAGTAATTTAGAAATTATAAGACATTTCTTAGCCACTCCACATTTCAAGGTGGAGCTCATGCATATACATTAGACCAACTCTTTTGCTTAAACACTTGGCTGAGATTGTTAAGGGACTTTCTCAGTCCTTTTGGCCCTGATTGCTGCGCTAAGTTTCTTAAATATTACATGCTCATTAGTGCGTGTAAGTACATGCTTTTCACCCCAGAACACTCATGATCTTTACGTCATCTTTCTGCCTCAGCTGCTCTTTCATCTGGATCATGGAATGTTGCAGGGTTAACACAGTGTTGCTGGCTTTGCGTCAAGAAGCTCCTTGATTACATTCATCAACACATTCACATGGTGTTTCCAAGCACTCATAGAACATTTGCCATGGAGGATGGTAATTTGGAGAACTGCCCTTTCACTCTCACATTGATATGCCACATGTGTCTGTACAGCTTCCCATTGTGAGAGCCTCATTCAGGTGTGGCTCTGGGCTGGACCTGTGGATTGCGGGATCTAGAGCAGGACTGTAGCTAACTGGGCAGTTACCCTGGGTGGCTGGAATCGGCTGTTTCTGAAAGGCAGATTATATAAGTAGCACTGTTAGTCCCAGGGGATAAGTGGGCTAAAAAATGAAAGCTCAGACAAGATGAAGCCAGATGGCCACAGGAATGGAGTAGGAAGCAAGGCCTTGTGTTGAGGAGAGGGGACTGCCAGCCCAGAGCTCTTTCTAAAAAAATTATTTGTGGGGTTGCTTGCTGCTATTTGTTATGTGGACTGGCTGAGTCAAAACAAAACCAAACCAAAACCAAGATTTAGTAACACCTGAGTGAATGAGTAGATAATCCTAAATTGCCAAAATGACTACCTACCTGCAAGCTTCCCAGGTGGGCTCAAAGCTACCTTGAAGCATGCGTTGCATTTGCCTTACAGAAAGGAGGAGTGTGTCAGCCCAGTGGTTACGTGGAGTTTGAGTGTAATCGTTTTGTGGTCTCACTGTTGAATGATGGGCCTAACAAGACATCTGTATATTGGAGTTTTATCTTTGATAATTTTCTGTGGTTCCATAGTCTAAATTTGGTGAGTTAATATTCTGAAACACTTTTGAACCAGAACGACTGAACTCTAGTTTCTAATTCAAAATAGGTAATGTTTTCAGTTTAGATCATGAAATATTAGAACTGAGAGGGAGCTTTACCTCACCTCTTTTGACACCATCCTATAGCAGACTCTTTATTCATTTATTTGTTTTCTTGTTGTTTATTCTGTTGAGCATCTACTGTGTGACAAACACTACTCTTGACAAGAGGATATTCTGAAAATAGATAAAGTCTATTAAACGTAAGTTTCCCATAAGCAGCAAGTTTGTTAGATTTTTATCCTGTTGTGGATCTGTCTGTTTGCATACTTATAAACACTGAGCTTTTTTGATCATTCTTTTTTGAGATGGAGTCTTGCTCTGTCACCTAGGCTAGAGTGCAGTGGCACGATCTCAGCTCACTGCAACTTCCACCTCCCAGGTTCAAGCAATTCTTGTGCCTCAGCCTCCCAAGTAGCTGGGACTACAGGTGCGCACTACCACACCCAGCTAATTTTTGTATTTTTAATAGAGACAGAGTTTCAGCATGTTGGTCAGGCTGGTCTGGAACTCCTGACCTCAAGTGATCCGCCCACCTCGGCCTCCCAAAGTGTTGGAATTACAGGCGTGAGCCACTGCGCCTGGCCTTTTTTGTTCATTCTTTTTCCTTGGAACTTTGGCTTTGGTGACTGCATGGTATCAGGAACAGATAAGAATCTCATTGAATAGTTACTTTTGCTCTTCATTAAGTCTTAGTGATTTAAGAAAGGTGACTGTAAGATGCCTATATTGACTTGCTGTCCTTAAAGAGTGAATTTTTCTTTTCTTTTAGAATCATAGATCCTAACTGGATTGCATATCCTTGATAAAGCTAGACCCCTTTTACGTTATAGAACTTTTATGGAAATGCAAATAGACACATATTCAATTTTGCTGGTGTTTATTTTTTTACTTAACTAGGATAATTTAATCTTGCCTTGATTCTTCCACTTTTTTACATAGTAATTGTGTTTGATTATATTCGATTAAAACAATTTACTTCTTTTTTCATTTCCTTGGAAGAAAAATTATTTTTATCAATTTAAAACAAATCAGGAAATTCTAAAGTGAAGATCACTCTGCTTCCATGAATTTTATATTTGCAGCAACTTATTCTTTTTTAAACAAAAAGGGCTTTTATGAAACTGCTAATAATTGTAACTTTGTTCAGTATTACATGTTTCTTCAAATGTGGCTGCTTTCCAAATACCACAAATAGTTTATTTTACCTTTAAGAGATGTTTTAAATTGAATCATTGGTTAATTCTGAAAGTAATTCAAGCAGAGTTTATAATCCTCTACACTATGACTCTTTAAAACTTGCTAATTAAAAAAAAATCATAGTTGGCCCTTTTCTCATAGTTTAGACCTTGGCAATGAAAAGGAAACTGCAAGCATTTATTTCAAATGAATTTGAAACCGTGGTTTAGTCTTCAACTCTTTAACAAAACAGGGAACACCATATGTAACAGTCCAGCATACATTTTTTGCTTTTTATGTCTTGAAAGTTTCCTGCCTCACTTTCTCTTTGTCTACTGGATATTTTTATTCAGTTGATAAATTGCAAATATCCTAGAATATTTTATATGGGACTTATTTAATCAATGAGATTGTATCCTTGCTATTTTACATGCCAGAGCATTTTGGCATTTGGTTCACTTCTACTCCCAATAAACAGCTTAGGATAGAGTACTTCTGAGAATTGCTGAAGAAGGGTGGGTCTTGGCAATGATCAAACCCAGTGGGATAAGATTGTGTTAAATTGTGAATGTTATATGCATAGCCAGGAGATTGGAGGAGTTCAACAGTACTAATCATTGAGCAACAACAAGTGTTCATAAGTAACTGAAAGAATGTAATTGAAAGAGAAGTGCAAAAAAGAGGATTGTGGAGAAAGATAAAAAGGAAAGGACATATATTTGTTCAAGTAAATGAGAGGAGAATCTGCTGCATGGACAAAGCCTCAGTCCTTCCTTAAAATGTTGACTGCTACCTTGATTTACAATTCGTACCTTCCCTACTTTGCTGCATTTTTCCTTTTCAGCACCTCCCCCCACTTTTAAAAAACTAATTTGCTCTTCTCTGGGCTTTCCCCTGCAGCCCTCTCCACAATAGATGATTGTCCCGCACAGATGCCGTCCTGCCACGAAGGCTCTTAGCCTTTCTGGCTGCTCCGCCCGCCGCTCGCCAAGTGAGGACAGAGGGTCTTTCTCTGGGGTGTGCTTTATTTCATATGTGCTCAGCCGGCCTACCCTGGCTCTTCTAATACATATTAATGCTTTTCTCTCCCTGACTTATGAGGACAGGATCGTTTGATCATTTCTTGTTTTGAATGTTCTTTTTGTGCTGACAGAGAAAGAGATGACTTGATGTCTGCACTAGTTTCCGTAAGGAGCAGCTTGGCAGATACGCAGCAAAGAGAAGCAAGTGCTTATGAACAGGTGAAACAAGTTTTGCAAATATCTGAGGAAGCCAATTTTGAAAAAACCAAGGCAAGTCTAATAAGATGCAAATAAAAGTGTCTTTCTTTTTTTTTTCTTTTTTCTTCTGAGTATTTATTTGGTTATTCTTCTATAACTAAACTTTGTTTTTCAAACACACAAAGTGAATTATCAATCTGTTAATGTTGACTTTTCTGAATTAAACAAATTTGCTATTTGGAGAATTCTTACTGCTCTGCAAATACTGTTGTTGTATCACTGTTCAGAGAATGTAGTACAGTATAATACTTTGAGAGACCTATATGCTTAATCTTTTTATTTGCTGATAATTTGCAATGCTGCAAAAATCTTAACACCCAGGCATTAGTTTGTATGTGTTCGTATATGACTAAAGACAAATGTTTTTCCTCAATAATTGGGAAGTTTTGAGAAAATCCAAATATACCAAAGACAATAATATATACATATTTAGTAGCATTTTTTTTTTTTTTTTTTTGAGACAGAGTCTTGCCCTGTCGCCCAGGCTGGAGTGCAATGGCACGATTTCGGCTCACAGCAACCTCTTCCTCCTGGGTTCAAGTGATTCTCCTGCCTCAGCCTCCCAAGTAGCTGGGATTACAGACACGGGCCATCATGCCCAGCTAATTTTTGTATTTTTAGCAGAGATGGTGTTTCACCATGTTAGCCAGGCTGGTCTGGAACTCATGACCTCAGGTGATCTGCCCATCTCGTCCTCCCAAAGTGCTGAGATTACAGGCGTGAGCCACTGCGCCCGGTCTTAGTAGCATCTTTGAGTCTGGACTTACTGTAAGGTAACTCAAACATACTTAATGAGAATAACAGTTTATACTTAGTGATCGGACGGTGTTATAGGCACTTTGAAGAATAGGAGGTTACTGTTGATTCATTACTGTATTTGGGGGCCACACCGTAATCCGTTAAAGTTGCATGTATTTTCCCTAGACACACTAGCATACAATTCAAGTTCTTAATGGCCACGTGTAGCAAATATTGGACAGTGCAGATATAGAGCATTTTCATTATCATGAAAAGTTTTGTTGGATAGCACTGGTCTAAACCATATATGAATCTCAGTGTTTTATTAAAATATTAGGGCTACATTACTGAGTATATGCCCAGAGGAATATAAATCATTCTGCTGCAAAGACACATGCATGTGAATTGTCATTGCAGCACCCTTCACAATAGCAAACGTAAACGATGGAATTGATGGAATCAACCGAAATTGACGGAATCAATCTAAATGTTCATCACTGACAGATTGTATAAAGAAAATGTGGAACATGGACACCATGGAATAGTATGCAGCCATAAAAAGAATGAGATCCGATCTTTTGCAGGAACATGCATGGAGCCGGAGACAGTTATCCTTAGCAAACTAACGCAGGAACAGAAAGCCAAATACTGCATATTCTTACGTATAAGTGGGAGCTAAATGATAAGAACTTATGAGCACAAAGTAGGAAACCACAGACAGTGGCATCTCCTTGAGGATATAGGGTGGGAGCAGGGAGAGGAGCAGAAGAGATCACTATTGGGTACTGGGCTTAATACCTGGGTGATAAAATAATCTGTATAACAAAACCCCGTGACATGAGTTTGCCTATGTAACAAACCTTCACATGTACCCCCGAACCTAAAATAAAAGTTAAAAAAAAATTAGGGCTATTCAATTCTGCATTAAGCCTCTTGTCAGCCATTGCTATGTCCATTTGTCTTTATCCAGTTCATCCATAACTCTTCCCGTTTGACCCTCATGCCTTTTGAAACTTAGGTTCAGTTATGACCAAACTCCCCAACATACTGTTTCCTCAGACTCTCCTGTTTCTTCATTTGTTGTGAGCTCTAGCTGTCCCTCAATGCCATGTTTCAAAACCTTCAGTGAAGGCCCTTGTGTCAGTCAAGTCGTCTCAGGTGGGTGTGATGGAGGAAACCGCAGTTACTTCACTCCTGACTGCCATTTCCAGGGCTTTGTTTTGGCACTTACTCTCAGGTCCTATTCCTCTTTGAAATTAAGCTACCGCTCTGTGTTAATCTGTTTTGCATTGCTATAAAGAAAGAGCAGAGATTGGTAATTTATAAAGAGAAGTAAGTGGTTTATTTTGGCTCATGTTGTGCAGGCTGCATACGAAGCATGGTGCCAACATATGCTTCTGGTAAGGCCTCAGGAAGATTTCACTCTGACAGCAGGCAGAGGGGAGCAAGCCTCACAAGGGAGCAGGACTGAGCGAGGAGGAGAGGGGCCAGGCCCTTTCTAACAATCAGACCTCAGGATAACTAATAGGGCACCAAGCCATTCATGAGGGATCCACCCCCATGACCCAAACACCTCCCACCAGGCCCCACCTCCAACACTGGAAGTCACATTTCAACATGAGAGATTTGGAGAGGACAGGTATCCAAACCATATCACACTCCTCTTTGAAATCAGTGTTGTCTCTCTCCTCCCTAATCAATAAAATCTCTCAATTGAGAAGGCTCTCTTTGACCCTTTCTATTTTATTTTTATTTTTATTATCATTTTTTTGAGACAGAGTTTCATTCTTGTTGCCCAGGCTGGAGTGCAATGGCGCAATCTCAGCTCACTGTAACCTCAGCTTCCTGGAATCAAGTGATTCTCCCACCTCAGCCTCCCAAGTAGCTGGGATTACAGGCATGCGCCACCATGCCTGGCTAATTTTGTTTTTTTAGTAGAGACAGGGTTTCACAATGTTGGCCAGGCTGGTCTCAAACTCCTGAGCTCAGGTGATGCACCCATCTTGGCCTCCCAAAGTGCTGGGATTACAGGCGTGAGCCACCGCGCCTGGCCCCTTTTTAAAAGTTTTAACATCTGATCCTTTTCCTCTTCATTCTATCTCTTTCATCATCCTTAAATGTTTGAATTTCCATGTTGCTGATACACAAAACACTAATACTCTTCAGCTTCCTTAACTCTACTATATCCCCTACTTCTACGCTAACATCCTGCATGAACTGAAATGCCCCTAAGATCTCTCTGAAACCACACTCTCTGACTAGGGCCTTTGCTCTTCTTTCCTCCCTATCAAAGTTAAATCTACTCCATGTCTTCATTTTCACCTCTAGTTCTTCAGCATTCTTTCTTTTTATCTCTCATTTTATCTGTTGTGTCCAGGCTGGTCTTCTTTTCTTCCCATTTAAACATAAATTTTACCATCTCAAATTGAACTCACACATTCACTCTCCCAAATCTGCTGCCCCTTCTGTATTCTCTTACTGGATGGCACTTTTACTCACTAACATGCTCTGATCAGAAAACTGGATTTCACCCTGTCCTTCACCCCTAACTTTTAACCAGTCACTAAGTACAGATCTGAGTTTCTAACGTTTTCTTGAATTCTTTCCCTCATTAACACTTTTCTTATGGAAGCTAAGTAATCTCTGGATTTATCTATTACACTTCTTCCTAGCTTGCCTCCCTCCTTCGTTCCACTCCCTACACTGCAGCCAGAAGCGATCTTTCTTAAAGACACATTTGATCATGTGACTCTGATTTAAAATTCTTCGGTGAATTTTCACTGCCTTCAAGACAGTCTCCACATTCTTTCCCATGCCCGTGGTCTGTCCTAATGTGGCTCCCTTTTGCCCTCCAAGGCTGCTGCTTTTTTCCTCCTCTCGCGCCCTGTCTCCCAGTACACTCAGCTATCGTCAAAGGCAGGAGGGCTTAGGGGGTGAACATGGGCTTACTAGAGTTAGCCAGACTTAGATTCAACTTCTGGCCCCACCATTCACTGGCTGTGTGACCTTGGACGAGTTACTTTAACTTCTCTGTGCCCCAGTTTTTCCTCATCTGTAAAATGGAGAAATATGTGACTCCTAGGATTGTGAATGAGGACTGCATTTTAAAATGTATATTGGTTATCTTATACAAACCCAGGCAGGCACAAAATATTTCTCAATAAATAGCGGTGGTGGTGATAACCCTGCTGATTATCCCATCCTCTCTCCAGCCTCTGAGTCTTTGTATGTGCCATGTGCATTCTTCTCTGCTCCACTGCCTGTATATTACTTTAGCCTTACTTATCTTAGCCTACATGGTACTCCCTCTAGGAAACCTCTTATCTCTTCTGTCTAGATTCGATGTACCCTTTATATGCCTTTATAGCAGGGTTTTTCAACCTTGGTGCTATTGACATTTTGGGCTATGTAACTCTTTGCTTTGGATGCTGTTCTGCACATTGTAGGATGTTTAGAAGCCTCTACCTACTCAATGCTAGTAGCTTACCCTCCTCCCCCAAGTTGTGACAACTGAAGATGTCTCCATACATTGCCAAATGTCCTCTGGTGGGCACATTTACCTCCATTTGAGAACCACTACTTATATAGCATTTATCAAAATGTATTATTATTGCTTGTTTGTCTGTATCCTTCATTAAACTTTTAAAAAAATATTTCAGCTTTTAGTTTTGAAAGAGGGGTACATGTGTAGGATTGTTACATATGGTGGACCCAGGTATTGAGCATAGTGCCCCATAGGTACTTTTCCAGCCCATGCCCCCCTCTCTCCTCCCCCAAGTTGTCTGCAGTGTCTGTTGCTGCCACGCTTATGTCCATGTGTACACAATGTTTAGCTCCCATTTATAAATGAGAGCATATGGTGTTTGGTTTCCTGTTACTGCATTACTTTGCTTAGGATTATGTCTTCCAGCTACATCTATGTTGCTGCAAAGCACATGATTTCATTCTTTTTTATGGATGTATACATTCCCTGGTGTATATGTACCACATTTTCTTTATCCAATCTGCCATTTATGGGCACCTAAGTTGATTCCATGTCTTTTTTTTTGAGATAGAATCTTGTTCTGTTGCCCAAGCTGGAGTGCAGTGGTGTGATCTTGGTTCACTGTAACCTCCGCCTCCAGATTCAAGTGATTCTTCTGTCTCAGCCTCCCGAGTAGCTGGGATTACAGGTGTGCACCATCACGCCTGGCTAATTTTTGTGTTTTTAGTAAAGACAGCGTTTTGCCATGTTGGCCAGGCTGGTATTGAACTCCTGACCTCAAGTGATCCACCCGCCTCCGCCTCCCAAAGTGCCGGGATTACTGGCGTGAGCCACCATGCCCGGCCTCTATGTCTTTGCTATTGTGAATAATGCAGTGATGAACATTTGAGTTGATGTATCTTTTTGGTATAATGATATATATCCCTTGGGGTATATACCCAGGAATGGGATTGCTGTGTTGAATGGTAGCTCTATATTAAGTTCTTTGAGAAATCTCTGTTAAACTTTAAAATTGTCACCAAGCCAAGGGCTTGCTTCCCTATGCACATAGAAGCCAATGCTACGGCACTGGCTTTTAAGAAAAGAAAAGGCTTTATTGCAAGTTGACTGGCAAGGAGGCAAGAGGCCACACTCAAATCTGTCTCCTCGTTCTGCGGCAAGATCAGGAAGATTGGTTTCAGAGGTGTTTCTAAGTAGCCCCAGGTGATACCAGTGCAGCCAGTCTGCCAGGGTGGTGGTAATCACAATGAGGAGGTTAAACCTCTCATGTACCCCAGAAATATATGCATCTACTATGTACTCAACAAAAATTAAAAATAAAGTAAAAACAATTAGGAGGTTAAAGCTTTTTCCCATTGCACATGCCTGGACTACATGACTTGCAATTTTGGCTCAGTGCTATCTGTAACAACTTAAACAATGGTTAATCAGTCTGCACTAGTCCCTTGGTTACAAAATCTCTGGTGTTACGGAATTTCTCCACCCTGATCACTGTTAAATCCGTAGCATCTTGCGTAGATCTCAACACATAATAAATAGGTACTCAGTAAATATCCACTGAGGAAGGAAATTGCAACTCAGTTCTCACTAGCACTCTACAGTGCCTTTATTCTTATCTTTCCAGCTTACCTACTTTGCCAGCAAAAGTACCCAGTGAAAATTAGGCCCAATCACACTTTTTTTTTTTTTTAATAGCTAGTTCAAGCCTCCCAAGCATTGCTAAAGGAAGTCATTTAACAAAGCCACTTAATAGCCGGGCGCAGTGGCTCACGCCTGTAATCTCAGCACTTTGGGAGGCTGAGGCAGGCAGATCACGAGGTCAAGAGATTGAGACCATCCTGGCCAATGTGGTGAGACCCCGTCTCTACTAAAAATACAAAAATTAACTGGGCATGGTGGTGTGCGCCTGTAGTCCCAGCTACTCGGGAGGCTGAGGCAGGAGAATTGCTTGAACCCGGGAGGCAGAGGTTGCAGTGAGCTGAGATCACGCCACTGCACTCCAGCCTGGCAGCAGAGTGAGACTCCATCTTAAAAAAAAAAAAAAGCCACTTAATGAGTTCCACTGAAGAGTAATACTAGTCACCTTCAGTGGTTGTAGGTACTGTTGAACAATTCTTTTCTCTGCAGTTGAAGACCTTATATACTCTAGTCAGGAACTCCACTTTCCTCACTTTTCCAACTCCACTGCTGGCACGTCACTTTCTTCGGATGACCTACTTCTCACTTTACTAAGATTAGGACCAACTGACAAGAGC
The DNA here is from genome assembly GCF_000001405.40 of Homo sapiens. Taxonomy (NCBI): domain Eukaryota; kingdom Metazoa; phylum Chordata; class Mammalia; order Primates; family Hominidae; genus Homo; species Homo sapiens. The sequence goes on from NC_000001.11 coordinate 243,323,359, forward strand.
CTCCTCAGCATCTTCTCATCCCTCGAATGTCTCCTCTCCTTATTTCTCCTTTCTTTTCTGGCCCTCTTATTTCCCAAGATGAACATCTTTCTCCCCGTTTTTGATGTCTCCCACTTCTATGTCATCACATTTTTCTTGCATCCTTTATCCTTTTCTCTCCACTGTTTTTCCCCCTCATCCTGCCCACAGCCTTTGTTTAAGTAAACAAAAAGCAGCTTTCCTGTGATCATCTTTCACTTCGTTTATTACCGTCCATTCCTCATTTCACTGGCAGACATCTCACAACAGTTGTCCACCCTGGTAGCTTTCCTTTCACTTCTGAGTGCATCGCAGCCAGGCTTTGAACAAACTGTAGCCTGATTTTATGTTACTGAAGTGCTCGCTTCATGATCACTGGTCACTTCCTGATTACCAAACCCAGTGACCTCATCTCAATCCTCATTGGACTTAAACTCTATAGATTTGGAACCCTGTTAACTGGCCTATCATAACATACCATCTCTTTCCCTTGATTTAGCTGATATGTTACTCTCATGGGTCCACATTGTACCATTCTTGTCTACTCTTAAGTCTCTTTTAACTTGTTTCTTGGTTTCCACAAGTCTTAAGTGTGGACGTTCCTCAGAGTTAGTTCCCAGCCCTCCTCCCATGTTGCCTTGACTTCCTGGGATTCATTTCTCCTCACGTGGCCAAATATTACCAGTGAATACACCCACATTATGCCTTTAGCTTTAACTGCTCTCCTGAGCCCCAGCCCTACGTGTTTTGCTGCTACTAGATCTTTTTTTATGGATGATACACTGCTGGCGTCTGAAACTCTACACAACCAAACCGTTCATTGGCTCCGCCTTCCCATCTACCACTCCTTTTCTTTCTACCATTTTCTCTATGATCGTCTTCAAACAAAGGCATCACCATCTTCACCGCAGTCCTGGCTTGCATTCTTTAAAACATCTCGGTTCTTCCCTATGCTTGCTCTTGACATTCCATCAGTTCCCAAGGTCTTTCTCTCTCTCTTCAGAGTCAAATTTCTATTTAACTATGCCTACCTTTTCATTCTTATACCACTGCCCTGGTTCAAGGCTTCACATCTTCACATGCTTTTTTTTTTTTTTTTTTTTTCAGAGACAGGGCCTCACTCTGTCACCCAGGCTCAGTGGTGCGGTCATATCTCACTACAGCCTTGCACTCCTGAGCTCAGCTGATTCTCCCTCCTTAGCCCCGCAAAGTGCTGGGATTACAGGTGTGAGCCACCGTGTCCAGTGGTATACTTCACGTATTCTTATACCAAGTATGCAGACAATTACAATAGCTTTCTAATTGGTTTCCCTCAAATTTCATCTAATTCCAGCATACTTTTCACAGTGCTCTCATAACATTTATAGTTCCTGAGTTATAAATCTCCCTGTTTAGGTAGCTCCCCTCTTGCAGTAGAATAAAAGACAAATCTGGCCCCATTCTAACTTTGCTAGTCTTCTCTTTCACTCTACTCTTTCATGTCACCTTCACTGTTTCCAGAACATGACCTGCAGTTGGCCATTTTCATTGATTTGCACATGCTGTATTTTTCTGCCTTGTAATAATCTATGAAGTATCTGTTCAATCTATGAGGCTCAACTCAAGTGGCAGTCTTCCTGAAGTTTTCCCCAGCCCCTTCTTGTTTGAATTAACTTCTTTTTCCTCTGTATTCCTGTTGATGTGGTGTATAATTTTGGTAGTTGTTTACACAGTTTTCTCCACCAGAAGACCTTGAAATCAGGTCTGTGACATCTATCATTGTATTTCACACATGACCATTTACGTCTTAATTAACAATAAATGTTTGTTCAGTGGAAGTCAATTATTATTAATGTGAAATTTGTAATTAATTTTTTAAAAAATTTAATAACTGAGAGCAAGCAACACTATTGTTCATTAGGAATCTATAGCATTTTCAGTAAATTAGTAATAATGAATGCAAGGACAAAATGTATTGCAAGTCTAGTACTTTTTATCTAGAAGGTATGTTGAAACACACTAGAATTTTTGCTTTCTAAGTGCATTAAAAAGCCAGGTGGTATACATATTTTAATTTAAAACCCAACTACTTATATTACTGAGTGATGAAATGGTTACTTGGTTTAGTTCCTTGACGTTTGTTGCCATCTAGTGTGGCATTTGGGTATCACATGCTAAATAGAAGGAATTATATATTTACATTCTTTGTGGCAGTGAAAATGCCTGAGGATTTTATAAGAAAATAAATATATAACTTGAGAAGTATATAATGCCATGCAAACATTCTTGTGTGGAACTACCTTGGATAAACTCCCTACTCTCACCACTTTCTAGGTCTCTGATTTGGGCAAGTTACTGAATGTCTCAAAGTACCAGTTTCTTCAATTGAGTGATAAGAACCAATTAAAATGTATTGAGAGGGTTAAATAATCCATGTATACCACTTAGCAAAGTATCTGGCACCTAGTAGGTGCTCAATAAATATTTTTGTTTGAAAATGGAAGTTATTTCAATTGGTGATAATTTTAAAAGAGGAAAAGAATTCACCTGGGACTAAATGGAGAGAAAAAGTAGAGGCTTGTGCAGTCACACCTTGATAAAAAGCTACACGAAGCAGATGAAAAGGTTAACCAGGCCTTAGGCCTGCCTGCTTGTGTTGGAAGGGAAATTGTTGAGAGGTATGTGTAAAGGCCTGAAGGCACAGGCTGTGGCATGAAGTTACCATAAGCATATCTGTAATGATATAACCCTCTAAGGAAAAAAAAAATTTTCTTTTTTACTCATAACAACTTGAACAAAGTATGTATTTCCAATTTGCTAAGACCTATCCTGCCATATATCTTTGTGGGTAAGTGGTGTGAACTTTTTAAAAAAGTTAATTATTATGTATACATAATAATTGTACATATTTATGGGTTACATGTGATATTCTGAAGATTAGTTTTTAAAACAGCAGCCTGGTAGGTTGAACAAATATTTACAAAGACTTTTTCTCCCTTTTCAAATATCCAAATTATTCTGTTTCTTGGATTACAGGGAGTCAGAAAGGCAGGAATTAGAAACCTGGATTAAAAATAAAATCAGAAAAGCATTGACTATTTGGTTATAGTCACAAGGATAGAAAATAACGCTTCTTGATTTGCACATTATCTGTCCCAAAAGAAGTGTAAATATCTTGAAAAATGGTACATAGGGATAGACTGATAAATTTCTGGTTAGCAAGGGTTTATAAATTAAAATCAATAGTTTGCATTATTCATAAGTTAGATGTTTGAAATGTGTTAATCTTTTTAATTTTGTGGGCTTTATTCATAAAAATAAAAATGTTTGTAAGCTTTAAAGTTTATGTTCAAAGGTGTGAGCTGTATATTTTTCATAAGATCTTAATTCCTTAGTTATGAATTATTCTGTCACAAAGATTTCTTGAAAACTAACCCTAGCAGTTGGGAAGGACTTTTATATGATCTACAATAGGTTTCCTGTTTTAAAATTTTAGTTGACTAGATATAAATTTTGTTTTCGAAAATATTTTGACTGCCTAAGATAGTAGTGCCTACCCTTTGGCTTAATAAAACCAGGACTGGGAATATCAAGTCCAATAAACTGTGTTTGAAAAAAAGTGTTAATATGTCAACACAGAATGACCACAGCTAAAGAAATTTCCCAGAAAAGAAAAGGTACCTTCAGGAATGAGTCTGCTGGGTGGGGGGAATGTATAATTCCCCAACTTCTCAAGACCTACAGCCATTTCCACCAAGGAAAGGGCCGTGTTCAGGGAAAGGGAGAGAAGCCAGGACTTGGGAACTACTGAGAGAAATAACAGCCGCAGGCCCCAAATTAACTTTGTCACCTATAAAGATCTATCATTTAATGGTAATTGCCTGTTTATAGCATTCAGTTACTATAAAATTATAATTTATAATTTTATAGAAATTAAAATTATAATTTATAATTTTATAGAAATTAAAATTATAATTATAATTTTATAGAAATTAAAATTATAATTATAATTTTATAGAAATTAAAATTATAATTTATAATTTTATAGAAATTTATAATTTTATAGAAGTTAAAATTATAATTTATAATTTTGTAGAAATTAAAATTATAATTATAATTTTGTAGAAATTAAAATTATAATTTATAATTTTGTAGAAATTAAAATTATAATTTATAATTTTGTAGAAATTAAAATTATAATCATTTGATGATAGTTGATTGTTTACTGACCTAGCCTTTGAGAAGTCAGTTATTATGTCTTTACTGAATGGTTATAGGGGTACTCAATCGACAGGGATTCTGAAACTAGGAGAAGAAACTCTAGAATTAAGAGAGAGCTTTAATGGAGATAGTGTATAAATAATTGTTTACTAGACCCAAATCTTTTAGTATGTGCGGTCCAGTGTGAGAGAGTTATCTTTAGAAAGAATAAATCATTTTTCTGATTCCAAGTGTTACTACGCTTTTCTGTTTTCTTCACTGTGACCGGACATATACGTTAAAATCAAAGCAAATAAAAGTAAAAGCTATTTTTGTTTGTTTGTTTGTTTTGTTTGTTTGTTTTTGAGATGGAGTCTCGCTCTGTCGCCCAGGCTGTAGTGCAGTGGTGCGATCTCAGCTCACTGCAAGCTCCGCCTCCCGGGTTCACGCCATTCTCCTGCCTCAGCCTCCTGAGTAGCTGGGACTACAGGTGCCCGCCGCCACACCCGGCTAATTTTTTGTGTTTTTAGTAGAGACAGAGTTTCACCGTGTTAGCCAGGATGGTCTCGATCTCCTGACCTCGTGATCCGCCTGCCTCAGCCTCCCAAAGTGCTGGGATTAAAGACATGAGCCACTGTGCCCGGCCTTAGAAGCTATTTGATAATATGGAATTGTTGGTTACACGCTAAGAGACATCAGTAACCAGTTTTTTGTTTGTTTGTTTGTTTTGTGTGTTTTTTGGGGACGGAGTCACACTCTGTTGCCCAGGCTGGAGTGCAGTGGCACCATCTTGGCTCACTGCAACCTCCGCCTCCTGGGTTTAAGCGATTCTCCTGCCTCAGCCTCCCTAGTAGCTGGGATTACAGGCACGCACCACCTGGCTCAGCTAATTTTCATATTTTAGTAGGACGGGGTTTCACCATGTTGGCCTGGCTGGTCTCAACCTCCTGACCTCAAGCAATCCACCCGCCTCAGCCTTCCAAAGTGCTGGGATTACAGGCGTGAGCCACCACGCCCAGCCAATAACCAGTTTTTAACCTAATATTTTTATTCAGTGTTTTGTTGCCCATTACTCATCATCAGCCATTGGTGGTGGCCATTCCTAATAGAGAGAAGACCATCCACAAAACCAAGGCCTCAGCAGTGGTTTTGTTTACATGATTTTACAGCTTCTCACTTTGTGCTTTTCACTGTATCATCCTATCTTGGCATTACACCTCTTATCCTGCCAGGATTATTTACTGTTGCTTGTTCTTTAGTTGACTGAGTTCTTTGAATTGATTCTGTAGGTGCCTTTCATGGTAGCCTGGTTTTAGATCTTCAGTCTCTTCTGCTGTTCCTATACTTAATGATGATGACTCCTGAGTTTTTGTTCAGTTGAAAACTTTCTGATTGGATATATTGGTTTATATTAAGTAAGCGTTTTGTCTATTCATACCAGTAGCATTCATGATATCAGGGAGAGTTATGAACATTTACTCAATTCATGTGAAATATTTTTCACAAGAGCAATTACATTTTGAATCACAAAAGTAACTCATTCATATTTCAAGCTCCAAGGGCTTAAATTATAGAAAAAGTATGCCTTTTCATTTATTTTAATATCTAATTTAAAATTTCCTTTTCCAGGCATTCTCGGCTGGAATTTTGACTTGGGACTAATTCCCTAGAAGAATCACTTTTTACTCATTGTATTTGTTTATTAGTTAATCTGAGACAACTGAATTTTACCTTTATATTTTATGCCTGGGAGCATAGAAACTTTTCAGAAGAGACCAAAAGAAACTGGAGTTTAATGCTTTCCAGATGAAGAGAGGAAAATTCACATATCCTAGATATTTATTGTCTGTATTTATTATAGCTTTCACCAGAGGGAAGCATAACTATGCATAAAACTTACAGTGCTTACTAAGGCCATTTCCATCTCCATTAAAATCAAATGTGACTATGAAATTTCTAATCATACAGCATGTAAGTCACATGAGACCTGGGGTTCTTTCTACCATTTCAGGGGAAAAGAGAGGTTGTGTGAGGTGGATATTGTACATAAGGGCCACTGGAATAAGACTATAAGATACTATAGTACCTTACTTTTATTAGGATTTTTAAAAATTGGGATTTTACTATGCAATCTGTGTATGTAACTAAATTACATTTGTACCCCATATATTTATACAAAAAAAGACCTCCCCAAATTGGGATTTTTGAAGTCATATTTCATTATTGGGTGTTATAAATAAAGATATTGTAAAAGTGGCCAAAATGAAGTTAGAGATTTTTTATTTCTGGAAATGCAGAGTGGGAAATTTACAGTAAAGGACAATCATGAACTTTACCAGAAGTGGAAGATCCTTATAAAACTAAGTAGTGAATACTGTCTTGAGTCTTTCCATTTAACTTACGATTATTACATAATTTTTACTTCAGTTGTATGTTTAAGGGGAGTGAACTAAATTTTCTCTTAGTTATATTTAAGGAAACTTGATTATTATATAGTATTAAACAAAAGATGCCTGTGTGTAATGATATATTCAACATTTCATTTTAGTATTTTGATCTATCATTTGAAGTATTCCAATAATTTTTATCCATGAGCAAATAAGAAATCAGTTAAATTGGATACTTACGTATTTCGTGTAGTATAAACATGATATATAATTGAAAATATTAGAACACTTGGTGTTTCTGGTTCCCTTTTTTAAAATTCTGACTCATCTGTGGCCGTCATCAAGGTTCATTACCTGAATTTTGTCATTGATTAATTAATATGGCTTTAATCATGAAAATTGAAATATGTCAATAAATGTAACATTTGGATACTCTTTTAGGTCAATAAGTGGTATTGATAAACAATAAAAAATTATTCTAATGGGCTTTATAGTGAGTTTTTGCTATTTTAAATATACTTAAAGCTTAATTATGTCATTTTACCTATATTTTTTCCAAATTCTAACCTCCTCTTTCAATCTGTTCTATCCTGGCAGGCTTTAATCCAGTGTGACCAGTTGAGGAAGGAGCTGGAGAGGCAGGCGGAGCGACTTGAAAAAGAACTTGCATCTCAGCAAGAGAAAAGGGCCATTGAGAAAGACATGATGAAAAAGGAAATAACGAAAGAAAGGGAGTACATGGGATCAAAGGTACTTAAGGACTCTGCTGTTATCCACATTGCAGAAGAAAGGTTTTTTATGATGCCATTGATGATTCCATAGGCTGGAGTTCTTGAATGAACTTTAAATTTTAAAATCGTTATTATATAAGTAGTTAAATTTCGTATAATTTAGAATTCATAAAAATGTTTTATCTTTTCATATATTTCTCAATAGTTTATGCTGATCTTTTCAAATAAAATAATCAGTTAGATTCCATACAATGAAATTACAAAATTTACTTTAAATCCTGCCATTCTGTTGGATTCCCTCTCTCGTGTTTCCCAGAGTCGTGCTATGAAGATACCCAGATTTTATTTCAACCTTGGCTAAATCAAGGAGAGATGACTTCCCCTGCATTATCTCCTACCCCTAAATTAAATATGCAGAAGATGAAACACTTGTAAGGAACTGAGTAACCAAGAAAAAGTGATTATGCACTCTGTATGAAATCAGTTCTGACAAATTACATGATGAATAATGACGGTAACCAGATGAAGGGAGAGATTTAAGGCAAAAGGAACAGATAACATGAAACAAGCAGTGTTTGAAAAGGAGTTCACAAACTAGAATACAGAGTTGAGTGGGACCTAGCTTTAAAATTGCTAACTAGACTCGAATTGAGCAAGTTGTGGTCCATCAAGTAACCAAAACAACTGTGTTACATGTTTGTTTTTAAAAGTGGACTCACAGCTTGTACTCTAAATGCTATGTTGTTATCAGATTCAATGTGTGATAATTAACTTATTCAGTAAGTATATACTGAGTATGTGCTGTGTGCAAAGCAATGTGGAGGCCTAAAGATATGTAAAGAGAAAAATCACAACTTCTGCCCTATGAGTTTTAAGTCTTAATAAGAGTAAACTCAGGCATTTCCTGTAAATGTCCTTGTCTTCTTATCCATTTTTAAAAATTGTGTCTGTCAAAACCCTACTACCTACCTTCTCTGCCCTGGATTGGTGATCTCTGCTGGTAAAAATCACACAGCCTTGCAGATGACATGGCTGTAGACTCCAGGTCTTCGGTGTCCACGGTCCTTTCAGTGCTTTCTAGCAGTCCTCTTTTGCCTTCCTCTCTCTTATTCATTCCACACTCAACAGATATTAACCAGAGGGGCTGGGAATGTTGTAGTCACAGGAACGATGCAGTTTCCTCATGAAGCTTACAAACTCGTAGGAGAAGTAGATGTTACACAAATGTTTTCATAAGTGAGTTTTCGATCATCATTGTGATAAAGCCATAAGGTTCGGTTTAGGATATCGTGGGAATGTGTAACAGGAATCTGACCTTGTCTAGGCAGTCACGAAAGACTTTCCTGAGTAAGAGATGTTGAAAATGAGACCTGAAAGCATTGATGAATGGACAGGTGAAGAGGGGAAGAGGGTTTCAGGCCCAGGAATATAACACACCCAAGACTCTGGACCTGGAAAGCATCGCACTTTCTAGGAATTTGGAGAAGGCCCTGATGGGTGGAGCATAGAGAGAGAGGAGCAGAGTAGTGGGAATGAGTTTGGAGAATTATGTTGGGATGGAATCATGAATGGCTTTAAAATCCATATGAAGGATTTTCAATTTTGTCCAAAAAGGGATGGAAAGCCATTGAATGGCTTTGAATTTGTCAGTGTCACGATGCCATTTATATTTGAGAAAAATCATTTTGTCAGTGGATTGGAAGGAGAAGCAGAATAGATGCCTGGAGATCAGCTGGAGGTCATTATCGTAGTCCAGGTCTGGAGGTGACTCACAGTCCAGGTCTGGAGGTGATTATCATAATCCCCCTCTGGAGGTGATTATCATAATCCAGCTCTGGAGGTGATTTTCGCAGTCCAGGTCTGGAGGTGATTATCACGGTCCCGGTCTGGAGGTGATTATTGCTGTCCAGGTCTGCAGGTGATTATTGCGGTCTCAGTCTGGAGGTGATTATCACAGACCCGGTCTGGAGGTGATTATCGCGGTCCCGGTCTGGAGGTGATTATCGCAGTCCAGGTCTGGAGGTGATTTTCGCGGTCCAGGTCTGGAGGTGATTTTCGCGGTCCAGGTCTGGAGGTGATTATTGTGGTCCGGGTCTGGAGGTGATTATCGTGGTCCCGGTCTGGAGGTGGTTATCGTAGTCCAGGTCTGGAGGTGATTATCGTGGTCCCGGTCTGGAGGTGGTTATCGTAGTCCAGGTCTGGAGGTGATTATCGTAGTCCAGGTCTGGAGGTGATTATCGTAGTCCAGGTGGGAAGTGATGGTATCTTAAATGCATTTCTTTAAAGACTGTTTCAAATCACTTGTTCTTCTCAAATTCTCTATAATACCATTTTTCCTCTTATTCTCAGCAGAGAGCCTTACTTAACTAACAAAGAAAATGGAAGCCGTTGGGTGATGACCACCTCAACTATTTCTCTTGTCCATGCCTTAAAATAAATTTTCACCTGTATTCCAACCCAGTCTGAATGGGAAAGGTGTCTTCCTAATCCCTTCCCCTTCCCATGGACCTCGTCTCCTTTCACCCCCTCAAGGAACTCATTCCATTTGTTTGTTCCACTTTTCTGAATCAATCTTTCCTTCACTACAGTCTCTTTCTTATCCTCAGGAAAATATTTTCAGATGTCTCTTACTGTTGAAAGGAACAATCTTTCTTCTAATCTGTGGTTCTTAATTTTTGGCACGCAAGAAGTTCTAAAAATCTGATTGTCCAAACAGTACCCCACACCCATTACATCAAAATGTCTGAGAGAAGCATCCAGGTGTCAGTGTGTTTGAAACTCACCTAGGTGATTCCAATGTGCAGCCAAGGTTGGAAACCACGTCAGTAATTCCATCTCCCTCTTTGACTCTTTCTCTTAATAGTCGAGTTTCTTGAAAGATTTGTCCATACATGTTGTCTTTATTTTGTCACCTCTCACTTACTCTTCAGCCCACTGCATTTCAACTTCCATGCCACAGCCAGTGAAATTACCATTGCTATGTTCACTGAAGATCTGTTTACACTATATTTACTGATTTTTTTTCAGTCTTATTCTCCTTAAAAGATTCTCTATGATTTCTTTGAATTCATATTCTTGATTTGGGAGAATGATGATGTGTGCTTTTTACATTACTCTGAGTTTAAAGTGCCTTTGAGACAATAAAGGAGACACATCCAGAAAGCAGCTTGATAGGAGGTTCTGGAGTTTAGCAGGGAGCTAAAGATTTAGGTGTCTTTAGCAGTACTATAGCTTGAATTCCATGTATATATAGCCTTAGGACCTAAAGCTTCAAGACTAAAGCTATTTGATTTCTAGATCCTTAACTGTATACTGAGCTCCCAAACCAGCTTTACTTTCCACCTCCTATCCCAGTGGATCCACTATTTATCCAGTTATCCAGCACAGAAATCTTGTCACCCTTTTCTCCCCCGTCTTTCTCACCCCACACATCTCATCATCACCAGGCTCTAAGACTTAAGCCCCTGAGCATTTACATTGCCTTGTCTCTCTATCCTACTGCTACCATATCTCATCCTTGGATGGTTCCTATAGCCCCTGTGGTGTCCTTGCCTCCAGTCTCACCTCCTTCCTATCTGTTCTCCAAACTGCAGCTGGGATGATCTTTCTCAATATGTCAGTCTCTTGCTTTAAAACTCCTTTCACGTCTCCCTGCAACCTTGAATAAAATTTAGGATCCTTTATCATAGCATGAAGACTCTACAATATTGTTCCTCTCTTTGGCTCTCCGGTCTTATGTTCCTTCATTTTTCTTCTTTGCACCCTCACCACACTGACCTACTTGTGCTTCCCCAAGCATGTACATATGCCTCTCTTCCATACTGTTTTTTCCAGTGCAGGATATTGCATGTGCTTTGCCCTCTGCCTAGAGGAGTCTTCCTCTGCCCTCTTTAACTGATTCTTCAGAGTTGTTTGTTTGTTTGTTTGTTTGTATTTGAGACAGGGTCTCACTCTGTCACCCAGGCTGGAGCTCAGTGGGGTGTTCACAGCTCACTTAGCCTCGACCACTTGAGCTCAGGTAATCCTCCCACCTCAGCTTCCCAGGTAGCTGGGACTAGAGAGGTGTGCCACCATGCCTGGCTAATTGTGTTTTTTATAGAGACAGGTTTTTGCCATGTTGCCCAGGCTGATCGCGAACTCCTGGGGTCAAGCAATGTACCCTCCTTGGCCACTCAACGTGCTAGGATTACAGGCGTGAGCCACTGCGCGTGGCCCAGAACTTTTCTTGGTACCACCTCGTCTCCGCGCCTCCCATAGCTGAATTGGGACCGTCTCCTGTGGGCTCCCATAGCTCACTTCATTACAAATTCATGTCGAATAGCTTGCCTCCCCTAGTTCAGTGAGTCCCTTGCATGTAACATCCTCAATGCCTGGCACATTCCTCTCATGTAAAATGTGCTCAGTATATATTAGATGAATGAAGGAATGAATTACAAGGAAAAGAAAAAAGTCCCTATGCCATTGGGAAGTTATGGCTAAAATGCTGAGAGTTCAGAGGATCAGAACTGATTGTCTGCAAGAGATCATGGAAGGCTTTGGGGAAAAAATGGCATTTTCGTTGAGCTTCCAAGAATAGATGGGGTTTAGAAACGCAGAGTATGGGGGAAGGAACGCCACCTGTAACCAATATGAATAAGACATGGAAGGGAGATGAAGTTGCGAATTGAGTGTTGTGTGAGAGAGAATGGTATCAATAGCAAACACCAGCTATTGTTCACGCCTAGGAAATTTGTATTTTTTGGTTGTTTGCTGGAAACCATTTGCCTTGCTGAGTAGTTCTACTGTGTAGAAGTATGTTGATGAGAATTCCTGATAAGAAAGGAAAAACGAAGGCTGAAGTGTGCCTGGCAGTATTCCAGGTGCCTTCATATGTAACAGAACCTCTCTTTTACTGACAGTTGTTTCATGAATAAAGGTGGTGACAGAAATGCAGCACATTTTTTATGTATCATTTATTTATTTATTTATTTTTAACTTTTAGATTCAAGGGAGTACATGTGCAGGTTTTTTACTTGTGTATATCGCATGATGCTGAGGTTTGGTTTACAAATTATCTTGTCACCCCCTACATAAGCATAGTACCCAATAGTTAGTTTTTCAACCCCTACCCCACTCCCTCCCTCTCCTCTCTAGTCATCCCCAGTTTCTGTTGTTGCTATCTTTATATCCGTGAGTACCTAATACTTAGCTCCCACTTGTGAGTGAGAACATGCAGTATTGGATTTTCTGTTCCTGCGTTAATTCACTTAGGACTACGGCCTCCACTTGCGTCCATGTTCCTGCCAAAGACCTGATTCCATTCTTTTTTATGGCTGCATAGTATTCAGTGGTGTATATGTACCACATTTTCTTTATCCAGTCCATTCTTGATGGGCACCTAGGTTGATTCCATGTCTTTGCTATTGTGAATGGTGCTACAATGAACATGTAAGTACATGTGTCTTTTTGGTAAGACAATTTGTTTTCTGTTGAATATATATCCAGTAATGGGATTTCTGGTAGAATGGTAGGTTCTAAGTTATTTGAGAAATTTCCAAACTGCTTTCCACTGTGGCTGAACTAATGTACATTCCACCAACAGAGCAGAAGTGTCCTTTTCTCTGCATGGTCTGTTGTTTTTTGAGTTTTGAATAACAGCCATTCTGACTGGTGTGAAATGGGATCTCATTGTGGTTTTGATTTGCATTTCTATGATGATTAGTGTTTTAGTCTGTTCTCGCACTGCTATAAAGAAATACCTGAAACTGGGTGATTTATAAAGAAAAGAGCTTTAATTGGCTCATGGTTCTGCAGGCTGAACGGGAAGAATGGCTGGGGAGGCCTCAGGAAACTTTCAGTCATGGTGGAAGGGAAGCAGGCATGTCTTCTGTGGTTGGAGCAGGAGGAAGAGAGAGCAGGGGGAAGCGCTACACACTTTTAAACAGCCAGATCTTGTAAGAACTCGCTATCATGAGAACAGCCAGGGGGAAACTGCCCCGACGATCCAATCACCTCCCACCAGGCCCCCCTCCAACATCGGGGATTACAGTGTGATGTGAGAGTTGGGCGGGGGCAGAAGTCCAAACCATATCATTCATGAGTGATCTTGAGCACTTTTTCATGTTTGTTGGCCATTTGTATGTATTCTTTTGAGAAGTGTCTGTTCATGTCTTTTGTTCATTTTTTAATGGGGTTGTTTTCTGCTTGTTCAATTGTTTACTTTCTTTATAGATTCTGGATATTAGGCCTTTGTCTGATACATAATTTGTGGGTACTTTCTCCCATTCTGTAGGTTGTCTGTTTACTCTGTTGATAGTTTCTTTTGCTGTGCAGAAGCTCTTTGGTGTAATTAGGTCCCACTTGTCAATTGGTGGGTTTTGTTGCAATTGCTTTTGAGAACTTAGTCATAAATTCTTTCCCAAGGCCCATGTAGGAAACACCCGGAATGGTGTTTCCTAGGTTTTCAGCTAGGATTTTTATAGTTTGATATCTTACATTTAAATCTTCAATTCATCTAGGGTCAATTTTTGTATATGGTAAAGGGTAAAAGCCCAGTTTCATTCTTCTGCATATGGCTAGCCAGCTATCCTAGCACCATTTATTGAATAGGGAATCCTTTCCCCATTGCACATTTTTGTCAAGTTTGTCAAAGATCAGATGGCTGTATGTGTGTGGCTTTATTTCTGGATCTCTATTCGATACAATACATATCTGAGCTAGAGTCATTGAAGTTGATTTTGTCCCTAGTAAGCCCTGGCTGACATTTGATCTCAAGATCCTGCTCTAAATAAAGATGTATGAATAAAGAGCTCACAGTGGTCCTAGCACTGAGGTCCCAGCTCTCACCAGGAAATGGCAGAAAGTGGTTTTGGAGTAAAAGGATTTAGAGTTGAATCCAGCTTGACCTTTCTGTGACCTTGAACAATTCACTTAACCTCTCTAAGTTTCAGAGGAGTAAATAAAGTTAATAATACATCAAGAATTGATAGGATTAAGTGAGATAATGTTTAGAAAATATCTAATATAATGTCTGACTTACCGTGGGCATTTAATAAATTTTAGCTTGTGGCTGTTGTTTTAGAGAAAGAGAGACGGAGCCTTCTTGGATAGATTTCTTGGCCCTTCATGTTAGTAAAAGCAGACAGACTTTTATATAAAGCCCAGCTTTACCTTTTACTTATTAGTTTGAATGAACTTGGGCAAGTTACTTAGTTTTCTGAATCTCATTTTTTCAAATGAAAATTAATTCCATATAATTCCTTCTCTAGGGGATTTAATTATTATTAGAGACAGGGTCTCACTGTGTCACATAGGCTGGAGTGCAGTGGTGTGATCATAGCTCATCGTATCCTCAAACTACTTGGCTCAAGCAATCCCCCTGCCTCAGCCTCCTAAGTAGCTAGGACTACAGGCGTGTGCCACCTTGCCTGGCTAACTAAAAAAAAAAATTGTAGAATTGGGGTCTCATTATGTTGCCCAGGCTGGTCTTGAACTCCTGGCAGTCCTCCTGCCTCAGCCTCCAAAAGCAGTAGGATTCCAAGCATGAGCCACAGTGCCCGGCCTTTCTAAGGGGATTTAAAGAGAGAATGCATATCACACTGCCTGGCCCAAGAACATAATGACTGACCAGTTAATCATAACATTGTAAGTGCTAGGCAGTTAAAGTTAGTGCTAGAACAAGAATCTCTGCTTTCCTAACTGTAGGAATACTTGTGAAACGTATAGATTTTCTTTCTTTCTATGTTTTTTTTATTCCTCCCTTACTTTTCTTTTTTTTTTTTTTAAATTCCATTTGTGTGGGAAGCTGTCGGAGAACAGATGCCTTCTACCTAGACAGGTTTGAATCATTCCCCATCAACAGTTCTTGCTGTGAGTTTGTGTGTTATCTTCAATAATGGTCCTTGGTGTTGCACTGAGCACTCAGCTTTGTTACTTCATTCAGTCATTGATCATTTATTTATTGAGCACCCCCTGAGGTCCACACGTTTTCTCAATTGCTTTCCTTGACAGTATCCATTGTTAAAATCCTTAATTCTTGTATCTCTTGCATAGGGAGTACAGCTTCATACCAGGTTCAATACACTAGGGACTGCTCTGCAGAAATTTCTATCAGCCTCTCCCAACCTGGGTGTCCTTGTCTCTTCCTTGCCCCTGTCAAAGTTTAAAGGACTCACCTGATGTCAACGTCCTGGACATCCAGCAGTGTTGCAGCTGTGTCTGTGTTACTTCTGGCTCTGCAACAGATGTGGATGGAGAAGCTCCTGCCGTGTAATGTTGACTTCCAGATGGTGGGTGGGGAGGAAAAGAAGGTGTGACAACAGGAGGGGAGACCTCAGAAAGTGGGGTGGGCGGCAGGAGGGAGCAGACAGCTAGTGGGCAGAGGACCTCAGAAAGTGGGGTGGGCGGCAGGAGGGAGCAGACAGCTAGTGGGCAGAGGACCTCAGAAAGTGGGGTGGGCGGCAGGAGGGAGCAGACAGCTAGTGGGCAGAGGAAGGGAATGATGGGTGGCAGAGGGAGGAATCCTAAGGAAGGGGAGAGATTTGTGACATGCCTTAGAAGAGAAATGGACTAGAATTTATAATTAGCAAAATAAATGTCGGTATATTTACTTCAAAAACCATACAATGTTGTTTACCATCAGTTATGTATGTCCACATAAATAAGTAAAATATGATTTTTAGTAGCTGGTAATTAAAGTTTGTTCCTGTCATATGGTTCCAGAAAAGCTATAATTACACATTCATAATATATATGCTCATGAACTCGAAATTTTAAATTGAAATGAAATTGATATTTTTGATGTTATATTTAACTTCTTTTCAACCTTAGTTTTATATTGTAATGTGCCCAAGAATATTTTTTAGTTTGTTATTAGTAAAGCTAATTGTATGTGAAAATTAGATTTGTAGACAATCCTTTGATGATAGGGATGTGTAAAAAACCATAAGTCAAATATGAAATTCTCCACTACCTTCAGAAAGTTAATTAATATATCTGCCTAAATTATTTTCATAGGGTCAACTTTAACTAGTTCTGTAGTTCGAAGGCAGACACCTATCTTCGTTTTATTGATGTCAGGTTCTTAATTTACTAAAACTTTGGTTCAATGTTGATTTTTATCATAGAATTTTAGTAATTGATTTAAGTTATAAAACTGAATTCACACCCATGTCAGCATACAATGGTAAGTTTCAAGCATCATTATTTAAAATGTGTCACCAGTTCTTGTTTTAACAGATAAAAATTGATAGGTATTCCTATATGTTCTGCTGCTTCTACATTTTAAAAACTGCCAGTACAGTATGACATTAAGAGCCTAGAAGAGTGACTTCCTGGAAAAGAACAAAACATAATTGGAAACCAGAAACTATAAAGGATAAATCTAAGATCTAGAAAGCATTTCTAATCTTGAGAAGAAAAACTGAGAACCTAATACCCATAGAGTCCATTGGAAAGCCATTTATTCTAAGTATTTACTCATTCATCAAATATTTGGTACCTCTTGAGGAACTTCTACTCTAATGAGGAAACAGACAACTAAAAACAGTGGGATGAGTACTGTGGTTGAGGTACACAGAGGTTGTGGTGTGATGGAGGTATATATACTGAGATTGTAGGAGCACATGCCATAGTGATATTCAAAATATTAATCTTTACAGTGTGGGAAACAGTGAGAGTGGACACAGGCTACAAACAACAGGCATGACTGTCTCAGTGCACACAAGCTGAATATCAACCCTGAACGTGGGAAGGGTCACCTATTTTGTGCTGGGAACTGGAGTCAAGGAAGACTTCCTAGAGGAGAGGAGATAATGGCTGAGCTGAAACCTACATGAGAAATGAGGGAGAACTAGATAATAGGGGGGCGGTTGGGGTTTTACCAACAAAGGGCACTGCACAGAGCCTCTTCTTTGTTGGTTTGCGGGAAGGGTAGTGGGAGCCATAGCAGACCAGTTGCTCTCTCTAAAGAACTTCCTCCTTAACTCTCCCCATCAGTCCTTTTATACCTTCCATGTGGAAGAAGGGTTTAAGAGTTGTATGCTTCTGTATCTCCTCTGAATTTATTTATGGCACTCTGTTTCATAACTTAATTGGGTGTTTGATAACTGTCACTTTAGGGTTTCAACCAAAACCTTGACTTTATCATCTTGTTATACATTTTTCAAAATGAGGTTAGAGATCAGGGGAATGAATAGGAGAGAAGTACATATTTCAGTTCACTGGGCATAGGTGAATAGAGGAAGGAGAAAAATGAACATACCCAATCCACAGAGAAATGGCTCACAGAGCCCAGTGACTATGCTGAGACGCTATTAATTCAAGAAAGTTTTAGTATTTGATTTGTCAAATGACATTATTGTTTAGGACTTTTATTTTCCCTTACAGATGTTGATCTTGTCTCAGAATATTGCCCAACTGGAGGCCCAGGTGGAAAAGGTTACAAAGGAAAAGATTTCAGCTATTAATCAACTGGAGGAAATTCAAAGCCAGCTGGCTTCTCGGGAAATGGATGTCACAAAGGTACAGAAAGAGATTTTAGTGTAATCGTTACTTAAGGAAATATTTCCTTTGAAAAATGTTTTCCTAATGTACAAAACTCTTACTGTTATCAGGAGGAAGTTTGGAGTAGAAAAGTTTTGTGATTTCAAGAATAATAAAAGGCCACCTAATGGTTACTCAGCAAACATTCAGTTACTACATGCAGCCCCTCAGTGGGTATTGCATGTGCAAGGATGAATTAGACACCAGTCATGGCCTTGAAGAGCTTAAGGGTTAAGTGGCAGAGACAGACTTACAAATAAATAAGAGTTATATTACTTTAATTATTGAATATTTGATAAACCTCATTTTTCTAAATTAATTAAGAGTGCTTTGTTTTTGCCGTAGATAGCATAAGGTTGGTGTTTACAATAATTGCCAAAGACATATATTGACAACTTAAAAGGTGTGCTTGACATAAAAAATCTTCCACTTCCTTTTCCTTTTCAGACTTGGTCATTAAAATAAAGATTCTAATACTACATGATCTTATTGGTGCTTAAATTTATACTTTAAAATACTACATTGTCTGTGCTATGGGCATCACTGGTTCGTGAATCAAGAACTAAAATGTTTAATGGTCTTTACTGGCAATGATTAAGATACATATTGTAAGAAATACTAGAAGTCCATCTAGATTTCAATAGTTAATTGCTTTAAAACTAAGAAACTAATAAAATCAATTTATTTTTTACCACTAAAAACACAGATAATTTGCTTAAAATACTCTTTGCATATTACCTTTTATTCTTCAATGGATTTTCCTAAATTTTGACATATTTGTAATGCCATTGTTGCTCTATAATTCAGTAATTAAAATTAATTTTAACATGTATTAGGAAAGGGAGCCATTTTACCCTTTTTCTTGAGTTTCTATAATTCTCCATTTGCTTTTAAAAATTCCTATTAGCTAATGTAGAAGTTTAAGAAGCTCAAATTTTTGTGTGGAGATAGGGTGGAAGTGAAGGAATTAGTTCAGAAGGATGGGAATACTTAACCTAGATTTATAGGTGAAAGCTATGATAAGACAGTTTTCAGTTGATAATAGAGAGGCAGCTTTCTGTTGAAATCAGTACAGCAGAGAGAGAGTTCTCTGTCTCAAGAACTAGCTGAAAGGACATATACATCAGAAGAGCGATTAGACTAAATCGCCTTGAAGTTGCTTCCAACGTGGAGATAACATAGTTCTGGTTCAATTTAATGTGTTAATTTATTTGAAATAGAATTTGAGTGCTGTGGATAAACATAGCAAATGCTGAACTGAAAGTAGTAAAGCAGGGAACTGTAGGAGTGAAATGAAGGGATAAAATAATTTTAAATAAGACCTGCTGCTTAAACAGTTTTTACATAACCAGCTTGTATTGGTGTTGGGTTTTAAACATCATGGTTGTATAATTATTATCTTCTGATGTTATCAGTTCGGGGTTTTATTCCATTTTATTCATAGACATAAATATTAATAGTGAACAATTGAGAAAGAAAATAAAGTATGGCTCCTCATTTTTTTCCTGTCACTCTGAATTTGTAATTTTTATTTAGGTTTAAAATTAATAGTTTTTATAAATTTATAATTTTTGAAATCGGAGGAATAAACTCTCTCACATTGAAGGCATTTGAACTTCCAATAGAATTTTTAATAACTTCATTATTGTTCTAGCTTTCTGAGGGCTACTAGGGAGAAGCCTGTTGACTTTTTCTTCTGTCTTGTCACTATAGCTTTTAAACATAGATTAATTTATTTTTAAAATTACTTTTAAGGTTCTGTTTTGTTTGTTTGGAGACAGGATCTTGTTGTATTGTGCAGGCTGGAGTGCAGTAGCTATTCACAGACACTACCACAGTACACTGCAGTCCTGAGCTCCTGGGCTGAAGCCATCCTTCTGCCTCAGCCTCCAGAGGAACTGGGACTACAGGCATGCGCTACCATACCCAGCTTAAATGCATATAGGTTTTATACCTTAGTCTATTCTAATACCTCAGTAATGATGAAACTGATTTCTAAAGTTTCCAAAATCATTATTTTTGGAGAAATACCAAATACTTGAAAAGTTCCAAGAAAGCATAACGGTGAGATAATATATTAAGAGCCATATATTTGTAAATTAGAAGCCAACTTAGCTGACTTGTACATTAATTGAACTTTCTATAGGTTCTCAGTTCTCTCAAAAGGCCCATAATTTGCTTGTTTAGATTTATCTGC
Organism: Homo sapiens; assembly: GCF_000001405.40. Classification (NCBI taxonomy): domain Eukaryota; kingdom Metazoa; phylum Chordata; class Mammalia; order Primates; family Hominidae; genus Homo; species Homo sapiens. Next base: position 243,343,392 of record NC_000001.11, read on the forward strand.
TAATTACACTTTTCAAATATATTTCCATTTCTGTAGCAGTCCTAGATTCGAAAAAATAAATAAAACAAAGTTCTTAGTGTTAAGTATAGAGGATGATACACAACACTTTTAAGATACTATGTGTGTTCATTATTGGTGCCGTATTACAATTATTTCATTTAAATGCATATTTTCCTTTTATATTGAATGTTACAGTCATAAGTGCATAGTGTGCTTAGTTCCAGTCTATGGCTTTTGCCAGAAAATCTTCCTTAACTTGAATACCTCATATTGTGTATGATAAGATGACATCTGCAAACCTTGCAGTCAATACTGGATATTACAGACCTAGATATCAATAGTATATCTATCAGCAGACAAAAATTCCTTTATACATTTCCTTTTAAAGAGCATAACTGATGAAGTCTTTAAAAGAAAACTTTGTAATATAGAGTGAATATTTAACTGTATCAATGTGAATGAATAATAACATAGCTTAACATTTTAACTACTAACTTTACCTATTTAAAGGTTAGATGATAGTGCATTTTGGTTGATAATATGCAATTGAAACTGTTATATAAAATAATCTTGGGCACATTACTTAAATTCCTTAGTTATGCATTTATTTATCTGTAATTTCAAGTTGTTAGAATCAATAATCCCTGGTGTTGCTTCTGAATCTTAACAAGCTACGTTGAATAGTCTAATAGAAAATGGCATTCTTAGAAAAGTTTTGTTGTATTTTATCTATATGACCTCTAGGGGGCACCAAAAGATCTAATTGCAGGCATTGCCTGGTAGATTCCAGCAGGTAATCATCCAGTTTTTTACAATCTAACAGGTGTGTGGAGAAATGCGCTATCAGCTGAATAAAACCAACATGGAGAAGGATGAGGCAGAAAAGGAGCACAGAGAGTTCAGAGCAAAAACTAACAGGGATCTTGAAATTAAAGATCAGGTAAGAGAGGACACAGCATAATTGCAGCAATTATAGATATGAGTAACATTCTTTCTCAAGTTGATGTTGTTTTATTCCTAATTTATTTATTTGTATTGTTTCTAACTAATGGGATGATCCAGTTTACACTGTTAGGAAAATTTCTTTTATAGTTGCCTAAAATTATCACCTTTCACATGAATGGTGAGAATACAACAGCATGCATATAAAATTCCAATCTGACAGGTCATAAATATACATTTGGATATGTGTATCTATTACTTACAAAAGTAAAAAGAAATGTTCTAATGCACAGTTTGAACCTAAAATATACATACATAAAGTTCTTGAAAGATGCCAACTTGAATCCAATTTTAAATGAAAAAGTTTAAAATTCGTAAGATGAGATGAGTTGATATGTAAATATGTCAATCAAATTGATTGTTGGCAGAGTGAAACCAGTTTTAACTAAGATAACCATGAATACGTTTGTTCATGAAGCCTAAATACAGTGACATTAGAAATGTTAGTGGATAAAAGCTGCGTACTTTAATTTCAGTTTGAACAGATGTTTTATGTTATATCTTTATTGAGATGAAGTAGATAACTCCAATTTTAGTTGACAACATGGATAAAGTTTTTAGAGAGGCAGTTCTAATAGGCTGACTTTTGATTTTCTATTTTTATGTTACAGTACAGGACCTTGAAGGTTTTCATTCTTTGTATTCAATGAAAGCAGGTTGTTTATTCAATTAAAATAGTAAGACTGGGTTCTTAGTGTCAATATTTTAAAATAATTGTTTTAGAATTTAGAAGTAGGTCGCTCCAAATAAGTTTTTTTTCAAATATGTTTCTAGTTCGAGGTTTTTCATCATATTTTCCAACATATTTTCTCTTTTGAGCCAATGAAGTCTTTACAACAAATGATGCAAAGACAATTGGGAAAAGTATTGAAAATGAAAGTGATAATGAAGACTAGAACAAAAAGCTTTTCAAGTCATAACTGAAATCCTTAGTACTAAATTAAAATCCTGGCAACCAAAGTAAAATTCTGCTTTTGTACCACTATATTTGGTGTTGTAATGGGTTTTACATTTTCAGAAGACTTTTAATTATTAACATGTACAAATAATGAAACATTTTATTGCATCCAGTTGGGGGCGTGCCTGATAGTGGAATGGAAAATGCTTTCTGTCAGGGACTGAAGGCCTAGGTCTACTAAGTTTATCACAGATAACTTTTCTTTCCTGATATATTGTAATTTTTTAAAAAGGAATCAATATATTGGCATACTTTTGGCCTTTCGTATTATTCTACAGCATTCTGACAGCATAATATTTTGGACTAACTGCAAAAATACATCAGGAAAGAGTCTCAGTTATTTAAAATTCCATTATAATTTTCTAGAGGAAAAAAGATCAGGGACAATAGGAGTATAATATCACTTGTAAAGGAATAACTTGTTTAGAAGCATTTGCAATATTAGAAGTATTTGCAGTATTAAATCTCATTTTAATTAATCCGTGATGGTATGGAGGCTAAAGTTGCAGGATTTACAAGGAGCAGTTTTCATTTGTAAACGTTTTCTGATAATAGTGAAACAATAGTAGTTTTCATAATGACGTTTAGTGGTATGTTTTTAGATAGAGATGTGCCTTTTTAGGAGGTCACAGCTTTAGGAATAAAACCTCTGAACAGTTACAAGATGTTTGTGATGTGTTGTGAAGTGATGTGCTTGTTACCATTTTTTTTTCCCAGACGGAATGTGAGGAAATCTTATAGGTACTCTTTTTAACTGTTTTGTATTGAACAGACAGTTTCAGAAAAGAAGTCGTGGTGTCTCATTCCATGGATGATTTGGAGTAGCAAAGCAGCAATTGTTCTTTGGTCTTTCAGCCATGACCTGACCTTCTGTCTGTGAGACCAAAGAACTACTTTGCTTGGCCACCATCTGCACTCAAGAGAGAAATTTACATTTAACTTTTAAAAGCGGGGCATGTTGAGCATTTATCTGAAATACCTACAATAATATAAAGTAGATTAAATGTTTAAGTGTTGTGTATCTTACAATTCAGCATCACAAGCAGGCTATCTGTAGGTTTGCAAACAAGGTGTTCTTCATAATATAGTCATTTTATTCATATTTTAGTTCATCTGACCACTTGATACATTTTTAAAGTGGGTGGGAAACTGTGAGATTGGAATGTGTGAGAACAACAGCTTTTTTGATGTATACAAAATAGGGCAAATGGTTAACCACCAAAATAATTTTCCTTGTGACCTGAGCCTTGGCTCTGGCATAATTAGAAGGAAAGGTTAGGAGAGTAACAATGGCAGTCGCTTCCACCCACTTTCTTCTTTTCTTCTTTATATTGTGTCAGGAACCGATGGGCGGATTATCCTTCCCATCAACTCCTTTGTATCTCTTCAGCTTAGAGAATTCCTGTCAGCCTCAGAGGATGCTTCTTGCACCAGAAAAAGAGGCATTTGGTATGGAGGAGAATGTGAAATATGCTCTTTGATTTTTATGAGAAATTTTTTTAGGCAATGGTTATACACACACACACACTCGATCAGGGGAATTTAAAAACATGTATGAGGGTATAGGGAATATTGTAATGAGTCCTCACATTTCCATCACCTACACTCATCATTTTGCCCGTCCTCTTCCTCAGTCCTATTCCATCACTCATCATTTTGCCAGTCCCCTTCCTCAATCCTATTCCATCACTCATCATTTTGCCAGTCCTCCTCCTCAATCCTATTCCATCTATCTCACTTTTTTCTCTCTACTTCTGTCCTCATCGTCACCTTCATCTTCTTTGTCATGTTTTTTCTGCTCCACCTTCTCATCTTCATCTTCTTCTGTCTTCTTCCTCTACCTCTTTTTCTTCTTTTGCAGAAGTATTTTAAATGGATCTCAGACCTTATGTTATTTTACTCATAAATACCCATGTGGATCTATGAAGGATATTTTTACATACTATGTCATTATCATACCTAACAATGTTAACAATACTTCTTTAATATCAAATAACACCCAGCCTATATTCACATTTCTTTGTCTCAAAAATGTTGATTTTACAGTTGGTTTATTCAAATTAGGAGAACAAGTATGTTTTTGTATGTCCAATTTTCTGGTGTTACCCTTTTTAATAGGAAATAAACAGAACTCTTAGTAAAATTTCATCTTTCTTTGTTGTTGTCTGTTAAATTTTGTACATAATGTTTTGATTATGCTTTATTTTTATAAAATGCCTCATTGTCATTCTAAAGAGGTATAAATTAATCCTACAGCAAAGTATGTGAAGGAAATGGCTACCACGCAGCATTCCTGATAATCATATCCCAAAAGGAGCTTCCTCGCATCCGAAACCCCAAATTCAGCATTAATTTCACAGCCTTGTATTTAAGATTTGGACATGTTGCAGGAGGCCCTAACATGACAAGGATGAGCTGACCTGAAATGAGTGATGCAGAAATAGAGTTTTTTTGTCAACTTCCCTTTTGGTAAATTAATCTGAGAAGACGATTCTTTATAGCCGCTAACCTTTGATTAGGGCCCAGTGCAAAGTGAAAATACAGGACCCTTTTGTTCAGAAAGCAGGAAAGAAGTGATATTAAAAAGAACTAAAATATAAAACATTTTCCTTTCTTCTTCAGTCTCTCTCTCCTTGCCCCTCCTCCCTCACCAACCCAGGCTGGACATGCATTTTTTTTTTTTTTCTTTTTTTTTTTTTTTTAGGACGGAGTCTCCCTCTGTCGCCCAGGCTGGAGTGCAGTGGCGCGATCTCGGCTCACTGCAAGCTCCGCCTCCCGGGTTCATGCCATTCTCCCGCCTCAGCCTCCCGAGTAGCTGGGACCACAGGCGCCCACGACCACGCCCGGCTAATTTTTTTTTTTTTTTTTTTTTGTATTTTTAGTAGAGACGGGGTTTCGCCGTGTTAGCCAGGATGGTCTCGATCTCCTGACCTCTTGATCCGCCGGCCTCGGCCTCCCAAAGTGCTGGGATTACAGGCATGAGCCACCGCGCCCGGCCTGGGGCGGGAATTCTTACCTCCCTGTCCAGCTCTAAGATGGCAGGGATGGGCACACTTGACTCAATCCTCTCTAAACACACATTCAGGATTCTGCCAGGGGCAAAAGACACAGGAGAACACACACCTCCCCCAGTGACATACGCACCTCCCCCAGTGCCCTGGTCCCACCCTAGGTGGAGGGACCCACCCCAGCAGCAGGGCAGGGCGGGATAGAGGAAGCTGGAGAGGAGTATATTTCTGAGAACTGCGTAGGGCTGCAGTGAGGCAGTGGAAAGATGAGACCACATACAGGAGTTCAGTCTCCATTGTTCCATCAGAGTACACCTACAAAACACAATTCTAGCCGGGCGTGGTGGCTCACGCCTGTAATCCCAGCGCTTTGGGAGGCCGAGGTGGCGGATCACCTGAGGTCGGGAGTTTGAGACCAGCCTGACCAATATGGAGAAACCCCGTCTCTACTAAAAATACAAAAAAAAAAAAAAAAAATTAGCCGGACATGATGGCACATGCCTGTAATCCCAGCTACTCAGGAGGGTGAGGCAGGAGAATTGCTTGAACCCAGGAGGCGGACGTTGTGGTGAGCCGAGATCACGCCACTGCACTCCAGCCTGGGCAACAAGAGCGAAACCCTGTCTTGGATAAAAACAAAACAAACAAAACAAAAAAAAAAAAACACAATTCTAAGATACAATTGCTAATAATTTCAAGACATTGACCACAGAGTATTAAACTGCAAGTGTAAGGACCCTTCTGAACAGCACATGTGTGACTGCACTGATCACGTGCCCAAGAAACTGCCATAACCAGGGGGATGGGCAAATGGAGATTTTGCATACTAATATATGTGTATATATCCCCACTCACATATACAGACACATATGCATATTCAATATGCTAATGTGCCCAGTATTCATAAAAAAGTGTTAGCCAACTACAGCTCATAGGTCAAGTCTGGCCTGCTGTCTATGTTACAAATAAAGTTTTATTAGAACTCAGCCATACCTACTCATATATGTATCACCTATTGCTACTTCCTGCAACAACAGCAGAGTTGAGGAGTTGTGGTAGAGACCATATAGCCCACAAAGCCTAAAATATTTACTGTCTGACCCTTTACAGAAAAAGTTGCCAATCCCTACCTTGAGTATAGAAATACAACTGTATTTTTTAAGTTTCCTCTGACTTACTAGGATGCTGAGCTTTGAGTTTGAAGACCCATGTATCTTAAATAATAACAATGGTTTTAGAGTATTTTGCAGTATAACAAATGTGCCACATCTTTAGTCTCTTAAAAATCTAATGGCATTACTCAGCGAGTGTATCACTGATAATCATGGCATTTTCTTATTAGTGGCACATGACTTACTAGTGGCTTGGATGGGAGTGTAAATACCGTATGATTTTATATTTACAATTTTGTTTTTAGGTTGGTTCCAATTTTATTTTTCAGAGATAAGAAGGCTGATATAGAAAGCGTCTTTCTTTTTTTTTTTTTACCGGCATTGTATAAATTATAATTTTGGAGTTGTGGCTACTACTGAGTAGAAAACATCAAGTTTGAAATGACTTTAATGGAGCAATCAAAGCAAATATTCAGGGTGGGGTATCTCTGCAAAAGAAATAGATCCAAAAATTTTGGCTGGAAAAATGAGGGCAAAAAAGGATTTGAGGGTTGCTCATATCTACAGCAGTGATTCAGCACTTGGACACTGACATTAAGGATGGAGTGTAAGGACACAGGAATTATCGCCTAAATTCAGTTGAATTAACTAGACTGTTGGAAGAAGTGCATCTATATTGTATGGCTTTGTGTAAGGAGAAGAAGGCCTGCCTGCAAGCCCTAAAAGTCAGTCCTTTTTTCTTTCTTTTTTTTTTTGAGACGGAGTCTCATACTGTCGCCCAGGCTGGAGTGCAGTGGTGCAATCTCGGTTCACTGCAACCTCTGCCTCCCAGGTTCTAGCAATTCTCCTGCCTCAGCCTCCCAAGTAGCTGGGACTATGGGAGCACGCCACCACCCCCAGCTATTTTGTTGTTGTTGTTGTTTTTTAGTAGGGACAGGGTTTTACCGTGTTGCCCAGGCTGGTCTTGAACTCCTGAGCTCAGGCAATCCACCTGCCTCGGCCTCCCAAAGTGCTGGGATTACAGACGTGAGCCACTGCGCCCGGCCTATGTCAGTCCTTTTTAAAGTTAGAGAAATATAAAAGCAATAAAGAAAAGTTGAAGAATTGTACCTTTTACTTAGAGAAGACTTCAACATTGCTTCACATCTTCAAGGATTTGACAAATTATTTCAAGGAAAAAGTTAAACACCTGATTTGAGTCTTCAATATGGACAGAACAAGAACAAAGGGATTTAACTACAGCAACTACAAATCACAATAGCCTGAAACAAGAATTTTCTGACAGTAAGGAGATTGAAATTGCTGCAACAGGCCATGGAACCTTTTCCCTGGAAGTTTTAGTTTTAAATAGTAGCAGCAATATGATTTACCTGAAGACCCAGCTCATGGACCTCTGAGGTCCAGTCTTCTATTTGATTCTGGAAGCGTCCTAGAAAGACATCGTTGTATCTTTTAAAAGTGGGTAACAGCAGTGTTAGTCTTTTCTACTTGAAACCTAGCACTTACAGATTAAAGTAAAATCCTGTTCCGTTCTATTCTCTGCTTTGTGTCTTTAAAGCTGTGTACTCTTTTTCAGAAGGTTTTTGGGGAATATGCTAAGATAATGGATGACTTCTCAAGAGCCAGACTTCAGAAACTTATCCAACTACCACCTGCAGTCTCACTTCTCCCTCTACAAAATGACTGGGAGAGGGGCCATTTGGGCCTGCCTTTGGTACATGTAATCACTCGGTCCTGGTGATGACAGAGTTGCTCTCCAGTATTCTTCACACCCTCTTTCAGTCTGTAGACTTAGCACATTCTTGTCCCTGCTCCCTACGAAGACAACAGCAGTTCCAGAGGGCTTGGCTTACCCAGACCAGTATGCTAGACACTGTGGGGGTAATAACTAGGAGACCCAGGTCCTACCCTTAGGGAGTTTATATTCTAGTTGAGGAGTCAGAGTACACATTAGAACATGCCTTAAGAATACTTGCAAAGCAGCATATCGACAAGTGCAAATTAATGTAGTGTGAACTTCATGCTGGCTACAGCCCATGAGAGGGAGAATCTGGTTCCATGTGTGTGATGCAATAAAGCTTTTTTATAGCATCTTCTCTAAGTATGCCCTAAAGCATTGTTCAGCATACTTAGAGAAATTTGTGTTCTTATCGCAGCCTAACCAAGAATTCTGAGAAAATTCTTCAGCCTAACATATGTCTAATAAATCAGCCTCTTTTGTTCTTGTCCTGGATGATGCTTGAATGGGACAAGTAGGATTTATTGGATTATACAAATAATTTAAAATATGTTCATTTAATAAAAGTCTAAGTTATTGATTGAACTTATTTTTCTAAAATGCTGTGCCAAATTACTTTCTTCATCTAAAATCATCATGTTGGTAAAATCACAAAATTAGCAGTAAAAAAATATAATTCAATTTTTCTGCATAAAGAAGCAGTTCCAAATCAATCCAGTGAATAATACCGAGTTGGAGATCATTGGGGCATTTAGCATTTAGTCACGTTGTTAATGATTTAGGCAGTTGTTTTCTGAGGCAGGGTATGTATACCTCATTCATAGAAACACTGACTTTTCAATTAACATGCTCAAAAAAAGAATCTATTAATTTCTGCTTGTTATTTGATTTTCCAACAAAGATGATAATGCTGTTTAACATAATAATTTATTTTACAAAATCAAATGTATAAGCAGAGACAACACATCTGAAAATAGCAATTTAGGTATATTTAGAAGATAAGAGTACAAATAGGAAATAAAACAAGCTTTCTTAGAAATAATATGCCTTATAGGAGAAACATTAAGAAATAAATATTTGCCTTTGGATGGGAATAGAAAACTGTAAACTGGACTCTAAGAATATTCCTGTGTGCCCTGAAGAAATATAATGTTTGCTATATTTTCAGTTTCAGTGGATGACATGTGTTTTGGTTCTTTGAACATTTTTTTGCATGCTTGTTTTGACTGTAAAAGTTGACTTACCAGCCAACTGCCAACTTGCAAAGTGCCTTCTCAGGTACCAACTCTGCAGTTCTGGTAGCTACCAGGTAGTGACAGTTCTTTAAATGTGTCCATGCAGCCCAACAAGCTGAGAGACATTAGACATAAGACAACTACATATGCTTTCTTTTTGTTTATAGTCCAGAAATATTAGTACCTATATCCAATATAAATATCACTAATTACTACATATGCATACATTTAAAAAAATTTATTGTATAAACATAAGCACATTAACAGAAGCCAGTAGTTCCATCACCCAAACAGTGTAAATTGTTTTTATTTTTCTGTTTTACCTTCCACTTTTTGTACATATGCATCTATAATATTTGCAAATATAAATAGATTCTAGTTTTGGTTTTTGCTTTTTTCATTTAACATTATCTTAAGCATTTTTTCTGTGTTGCTCCTTATTCTTCATAGTGATCACTTTACTGTGGCCATTTACATATACCTGTAAGGGAAAATGATAGTAAGTTAGATTTTGAGAACAGCCACTATGACAGATTTAGAGCCCTTTTGCCCTAAACTTCATATGTTGCTTTAATTCAATAACCATATATTATGTGCACTCTACTTAGCTATAATCAATTTCTGTCAGAAAGGAGTATGTAAACCAGGTATGCCAATAAATATATGTCAAAGAGAACATAGTAGCTATCAGCAAAATGCAAAAGGCATGGGAATTTGGGAGGGGAAAGATAACATCCTTGCAGGGTGGTTAGAATGTTGCCTAGGGCCAGCCGTGGTGGCTCATGCCTGTAATCCCAGCACTTTAAGAGGCTGAGGCAAGCAGATCACTTGAGGTCAGGAGTTCGAGGCCAGCCTGGCCAACGTGGTAAAACCGTGCATCTACTAAAAATTCAAAAATTAGCCGGGTGTGGTGGCGCGCGCCTGTAATCCCAGCTACTCGGGAGACTGAGGCAGGAGAATTGCTTGAACCCAGGAAGCGGAGGTTGCAGTGAGCTGGGATTGTGCCACTGCACTCCAGCCTGGGCAGCAGAGCAAGATTCCATCTCAAAAAAAAAAAAAAAAAAAAAAAAAAAAAAAAAGAATGTTGCCCAGCACGGATAGAAGAAGAAATTTATTTGGTTAGAAGGTTCAACATGGCAGCTTGAGCAAAGGAATGGGGGTGAAAAAGGAGGGTGCATCCAAGAACATATGTGTCTTTTGGTTCCATAGCATTTTTGTATAACTGACCTCCATTATTTCAAGTGCCACTTCTCTGTTGTAATAGATTGCTCATAGAAAATGGGTTTTAGTAACACTCAGAATCCCAATATAATTGTCTCCTTGTAATATACTGTATGCCCTGCAGTCAGGCACAGAAGTCATGGTATCGTTTGGGAATGTATGCATATGTATTTCATTTGCTTTGTAGTAGGTTTTATGTAATGGAAAAATTTTAAGATTTTTCAAATTTCAGATAACATAAATAAAATGTCATTTTATTTACAGTGTTAGAGTCATATAGGATTGTTTTCCTAGAAATAAAGAATTGACAATTATCTTGATTTGTGGAGGATTAGCACATGACTGTTGATGAAAGGTGAAACACAGATCATACAGGGTACTACTTTACTTAAGGACCATGAGTACAAAGTCATGACTTTCTGATTTAGCTTTTCCAGCTAATTTCCTGAGCAAACCTCTCAGAGCCTCAGTTTATTTCCCAGTGAAGTGAGAAGCTTGGACAAGTGGTAGCAAAAGTTTTCTCCAGCTGTAAATTCTTGCATTTCTAGAAACACAGGAAGTATTTCTTTGCCCCTCTTAATTGTGAATTAAATATTCATAAAATCAACAGAAATTGCATGGAGCCTCAAGTTTTATTCTGTATTTTCCAGTTATTCACTTTCACTTTATAAACATGACACTTTTGTTAAGATTATAAAAATGAATTTTGACTGTCATCTGCAATTTTAGACATTTTCGTTATGATTGGTAATAGAACAATAAAATGTCTAGCCTTGTAAAGAGTTAAGTTTACTTACAAGACAGACATCATCTAATTTGCAACAAGGATTAAAGCCCCACTCTGAATTAAAATTTCTACTGGAAAGATTTGAGGCACTGGCAAACTGTCAAAGGTAGTATTGTGCGAGAGTAACCAGCTTTTGCAAGACCTGTGAAAGTAAATCTCTTCGGCCAGAGTTTCTTAGGTGTGTGAACTTATGATGATCAGGAATACATTGGTGGATTCCCACTAGAGAAACGCACCATTAATAGTTAATGCTTTCACTTTCTGTTTTCACTTGTTGCCCTCATAAATGCAAGCATGGAATGAAAAGCTGTGGTAGTTCTGGACACAGATGACCTAGAATATGATCATCTTAAGATTTTGCTCTGGGAGTTCTTTTTAAAATCAATCAAAATGAAACCAAAAACAATTTTGCAATTGTCTTAGAGGTTTTACAGATCCCTGGCATGTTTTTCTGACCCTCACTGGAGTTCAGTATGAGACAGACCACGCTACAAAGAGATTCCTGATCTAACTCTAGGCTGTTCATGAGTGTTAGACACACAGTGTGAGACAGATCACCCTACACAGAGATTCCTGATCTAACTCTAGGCTGCTCCTGAGTGTTAATGAGTTGCAAGGTGTTTAGAGTTTTCATATTACTCTTCTTAACAGATGGTCAAGTTAATTTAACTCTTTTTGGTGTTAACATCTGTACTTAAGTGGATTTGTTACACTTACATTTAGGAAAAAGACAAGAAAGCTGCAGGGTCTTTATTTCTGGCCTGCCTTCTGCCATCCCTGAAAATTTCTGGAGTTTCCTATAGGAATGGAAAATTCTTCTTTGTATAAAATCTCTCTACTTACAACTGAAGTCCTGATACCTTCTCTCTCTCTCTCTCTCTCTCTCTCTCTGTCCCCTACCCTCTCTCCATGGTAATAAATTATACAAGTAGTAGTATTAGCCTTTCTTCATGAGTCAAGCTGTCATTGAAAATTCCCATTAAAGTGCGAGGGGACGCTCATATCTTTAAAGAAAGTGTGGCTGCCAAGGAAACGAGGGAGGTAAAAATAAACTTTTAAGGAGATCTTGAGATGGAAGAGAAAGAATCGTTCTACTCGAAAGATTATTTCAAATGCTACCTTTTCTGTTGGACTCTTCTTTCTTTCTTTATGATTAATATTATTATTTTGGGATTTGGTGTTTTACTCTGTTGTCCAGGCTGGAGTGCGGTGGCACAATCTCGGCTTATTGCAGCCTTGACCTCCTGGGTTCAAGTGATCATCCCGCCTCCACCTCCCAAGTAGCTGGGACCACAGGTGCATGCCACCACACCCGGCTAATTCTTTTTGTATTTTTTTGTAGAGTCAGGGTCTTGCTATGTTGCCCAGGCTGGTTTTGAACTCCTGAGCTCAAGCCATCCCTCCACCTCTGCCTTCCCAAGTGCTGGGACTACAGGCCTGGGCCACCGCACCTGGTGTGGATTCTTCTTTAGCTTGCTTAGAATGTTCTGCAAAGAAATCTGAATTCACTCATATGGAGAGGTGATTGTCATATCCTAGTTTGCATTAGAAACTTTAGGGTGTCATTTTCAACTAAATTTATCGTAGAACTGTAGGAGGGTCAGTGTTTCTTCCCTAATATACTGAAGGTCCACTATGTGTATAGCAAATTAAGCTATGCAAGGTTTTATATAATAAGAACCAGACATGTTTCATTTTAAAGGCGGCGTCAACACAGACTAACGAATACATCAAATATCTGTATGTATTTTTAAATCTATATGTAGATATATAGCTTTCTATATATCTTATTAATCTATAACCTTACTGTGACTTACTAATGATTTTTCTTGAGCAGAACCTGAAGTTTGAAGTATCTCAATGCTGAATTTGACATACCATAGACTTACTTCAATGGCTAGGAGAGCAAGAAAGATGCTAGAATTATCTTTAGTTATAAAAACAAGAAGAGAAAAGAAAAGTAGTGGCGGGGGGGTGGTGGGGGAAGTGGGAAGAGAAAATGGGAAAGACTTTAGAGGAAGACATTCTAAAGGCATTTATACTAAGAAGAATTGGGCTTTTTTTTTCCTGTTTATACTGTTTCACCTTAAACTATAACTCAGAAGAGGCAAACATGACCACCTATCCATCAGTATAATAATGCATCAGGATTTTCAGAAGGGAACCACAATAATGGATTTTAAAAAACCATTACTGGTATGAAAATCCCTTTTCCCCTACAACCACTGCTGATTGTCGAAAATAACTTCATGCTAGACATGGTGGCTTACTCCCGTAATCTTAGCACTTCAGGTGTCCCAAAGCAGGAGAATCGTTGAGCCCAGGAGTTTGAGACCAGCCTAGCCAACATGGTGTGACCCCATCTCTACAAAAAAAAGAAAAAAAAAATCAAAAAATTACCCAGGTATGGTGTCATGTGCCTGTAGTTCCAGCTACATGGGAGGCTGAGGTGGGAGGATCACTCACACCCAGAAGGTCAAGGCTGCAATAAATTGTGTTCATGCACTGCACTGCAGCCTGGGCAACAGAGCAAGACCCTGTCTGAAAAGTAATAATAATATATAATAATAACTTTATGTACTTTGGCATTTTTCAGAAGATGCTTCTTACCCACATAGCAATGGAATTTATGAAGGTAACTTTTGGGCCGGGTGTGGTGGCTTATGCCTGTAATCCCGGCGCTTTGAGAGGCCGAGGTGGGTGGATCATGAGATCTGGAGATCGAGACCATCCTGACTAATACGGTGAAATCCCATCTCTACTAAAAATACACAAAATTAGCCAGGCGTGGTGGCACATGCCTGTATTCCCAGCTACCTGGGAGGCTGAGGCAAGAGAATCGCTTGAACCTGGGAGACGGAGGTTGCAGTGAGCTGAGATCGTGCCACTGCACTCCAGCCTGGGCAACAGAGCGAGACTCTGTCTCAAAAAACCAAGAAAAAAAAAAAGAAGGTAACTTTTGTCTTTAGTCTTTCCTATTTCAATGGCCACATATAAAGGATGGAAGGAAAGGCTTCAGATAATAAAGAGCAATGGCTTGGTGGGCACCAAGGGTCAGAAAGACTTTAATAACTTAGTCCACCTCCTCCATTCTGTATATGATGAGACTGTGAGTCAGCTGGGAGTAATTACCTTATTTCCATGCAGCCATTTATTTAACTAATAATTAGTGATAACCTATTATGTGTTGCAAACAAATACGCACAGGGGTGCAATGAAAAATAAAAATATATTTACTGCTCTTAACAACTCTTATAGTTTGGTGAGGAAGTTAAATGTGCTGGGGGCTCAGCAAAGGGTGTGGCCTACTGTGGCGGGAGAGGGTCCAGAAAGATTTTACACATTTACAGTCAATTGATTTTCAGCAAGGATATTAAAACTCAATAGGGAGCAAACAGACTTTACAGTAAATGGTGCTGGGAAAACCTGATACCCACAGGTAAAAGAAAGAACTTGGGTTCCTACCTCATAGTGTAGACAAAAATTAACTCAAAATGGATGAAAGACTAAATGTAAGAGCTAAACTTAGAAAACTCTTAGAAGAAAACATAGGCATACATCTTAGTGACTTTGGATTAGGTAATGGTTTCTTAGGTATGATGCCAAAAGCACAAAGAACAATAGAAAAAAAATAGATAAATTGAATGTCATCAAAATTAAAAACTTTTGACCTTTAAAGAACATTATCAAGAAAAAAGACAACCCACAGAACGGGAGAAAATTTTTGGTAACTCATGTATCTGATAAGAGACTTGTATCTAGGATATGTAAGGTACATTTACAATTTAATAATAAAAAGACTCCTCAATTTTTAAATGGGCAAAAGATCCGAATAGACTTTTTTTAAAGAAGATATGTTAATAATAACTATATTATTAACAAATGATTAATAAACATGTGAAAAGATGCTCAACATCATTAGCTATCAGGAAAATGCAAACCAAAACCAAGATGAGAAACCATTTCACATCTACTTTGGATAAGTGTAATAAAAAAGACAGATAATAACAAGTGTCGGTGAGGATGTAGAGAAACTGGAACTCCCCCATAAGTTGCTGGTAGAATTTAAAGTCATACAGGCTGAAAAATATTCGGGCAGTTTCTCAAAATGTTCAACATAGAGATATCATATGACCCAGCAATTCCAGTCCTGGGTCTATACTCAAGAGAAATCAAAACATGCTACTCAAAAACTTCTACACGGATGTTCATAGCATTATTCATAGTAGCCCCAAACTGCCAATACCCCAAATGTCTATCAACTGATGAATGGATAAATAAAATGTGGGGTGTGTGTATATAGATACATATTACATGGCAGTAAAAAAGAATGAAGTAATGATACATTCTACAGCATGGTAGACTTACAATTGAAAACATCATGTTAGATGAAAGAAGCCAGTCACAAAAGACAACATATTGTATGATTCAATTTATATGAAATGTTTAGAATGGGCAAATCTATAGAGACAGAAAGATTAGTGATTGTCCAGGTCTGAAATTGGGGACAAATGGGAGGGACTCCTGATGGGCATGGAGTTTCTTTTGGGGTGATAAAATGTTCTAAAATCGGTTGTGGTAATAGTTGCACAACTATTTTATTTCCTCAGTCCTGAACTTCATGTCCAGGTAGAGATTTATTCCCTAGAGTAACTAAGGAGGAGGAGTGTTAGCCAGCACCTTCCTCCTTCCTCTTGGTGACTAGAGTGTTAGCACGTCAGTCCAATTCTGAAGTTCAATCATTGGAAGCCTACTTACCCATAGATTTGAGCCACATTCTCTAAAATTGATTTCATTGCTAATACAGATGAACAGGCTTGCTCCATACTGTTCTACAGGCTGTGCACTGCACAATTCCACAGATGCCATTTGCACTATAGTCATGGCGGCCTCACAGTGAATGTACTAAACTCCGTGAATGTACTAAAAACTATTCAATTGTATACTTTCGGTGGGTGAATTCTATGGTGTGTGGATGATCTTAATAAAGTTGTTATTTTAGAAAAAAAATATATCATCCAAGTCATATTTTAGCCCAGTCTGGAGGGAACAAGAGTGGGAAGTGAAGGCCATTCAGGAAAACAGGACAGAGTCACAAAGGCACTGTTCTGTGTGTACCTGGAGGGCACAAGCGGGTGCAACAGATGAGGAAGGAAAGACAGAGCCCCACAAAACTGAAATGACATGCCAGAAGTGGCTGTAAGGTCCTTAAAGTCAGGGTCTTAACTTACCCTTCATTGTGTGTCCGGTACTCGGCACAGAGGAGACCTACGGCAGATATTTATCTGTTGATTGAGTGAATGCATAGTGAGCTAAGAACAAACCTTGAATACTTAGTGATAGTATCTAAATGAGATGACTGAGCTTCTCACTCCTAGGTCAGTCTTTGTTGTGCTATGTCTGATGGAAAGTTTTAGAATCAAGATGAGAATAACTCCTTTTATAATGATACTCATATTTTAGCAGTTATATGTGTTGAAAATGTTTGATCAGTCTTTTTTATATTTAGTTGTTCTAGTAAGTATATAATGGTATCTCATTGTGGTTTTAATTTTCATTTCCCTAGTGATGAATGGTACTGAGCATTTTTTCAGATGCTTTTCTTCTGTCCATATATCTTCTTCACATATATCCACTGCTACCGTCTAGTTCAAGGTACTGTCGTCTTCAGCTGTGTTATTGCAACAGTCTCTTTTTTTTTTTTTTTTTTTGAGATGGTGTCTCGCTCTGTCACCTAGGCTGGAGTGCAGTGGCGCGATCTCAGCTCACTGCAAACTCTGCCTCCTGGGTTCACGCCATTCTCCTGCCTCAGCCTCCCTAGTATCTGGGACTACAGGCACCCGCCACTATGCCTGGCTAATTTTTTTTTATTTGTATTTTTAGTAGAGATGGGGTTTCACCGTGTTAGCCAGGATAGTCTCGATCTCTTGAGCTTGTGATCTGCCCACTTCGGCCTCCCAAAATGCTGGGATTACAGGCGTGAGCCCCCATGCCTGGCCAGCAACAGTCTCTTAACTGGGGCTCCCTGCTTCTCCTCATCTAGCCCCTTCACAGCATAAGGGCCAGAGAAAGTCTGTTAAACTTTCATCAGCCAGGTGAGGTAGCTCACTCCTGTAATCCCAGCACTTTGGGAGGCCGAGGCAGGTGAATCAGGAGGTCAGGAGTTCAAGACCAGCCTGGCTAAAATGGTGAAACCCTGTCTCTACTAAAAATATAAAAATTAGCCAGGCACGGTGGCAGGTGCCTATAGTCCCAGCTACTCGGGAGGCTGAGGCAGGAGAATCGTTTGAACCCGGGTGGTGGAGGTTGCGGTGAGCCGGGATTGCGCCACTGCACTCCAGCCTGGGCAATAGAGTGAGACTCCATCTCAAAACAAAACAAAACAAAACAAAAAAACAAACAAAAAACAACCTATGTCTGATCTTGTCACCCTTCTGAAACCATCCAGTGGTTCCTACCTCAGTAGCAGTCAAAGGCAAAGTCAAACAGTGACCCCCTCATGGCACGCATCTGCTGACCTACAACTGGGCAGTGAATATAGACATTTGCATTTACCTGTCTGGAACTTGGTCATTTTCGTTTGGGCCTGTTGTGTCAGCTTGTCCGAGCTCTCTTGGATCCTCTTTTCAACATATTGCCATAATAAATTATTCCTCTCAGGTTTATGTCACTGGTTAGCAAGGTGCTAACCAGTCTGCCCCCACGACCACTTCAGAGCCTTTGGACTTGCTCTTTTCTTCGCCGGGTTCTCTGGGATATCCTGTGGATCACAAAATAACCCTTCAAGTCATCGCTGAAATCATCTGTGTGAGACTTTCCTGACTACCTTGTTTTATGTTGTAAACCAGTTTCCGAGTACTCCTGCCCCCTTTCTGCTTTATTTTACTCCATATCTTACTCATTTGTTTATTATCATCTTTCCTTATCACAACCTTAGCTTCATAAAGTTATGCCCTCTTTATTCATACTCAACACATTTGCGAAAGCAAAACGTGAATTGCATTGCATTGCATTGCTCTTCCATTTAGCAATTTGGAATGGCTTCCCATTTGCATTTAGAAACATGAGTCCAAACTCCTTTCTACAGTTTATAAGGCCCTGCATAATCTCCCCACTGCCTGTCTTTCCACCCTCTTCTCATCCACCCTTCCCCTGTCCATTCAGTGGAGCCTCCGTGGTTTGCCTTTAGCTTCTCAGACATGCCATGGCCTTTGGACAAACATCTTCCACATATATTCTTTCCCACTCTTCCTTTGCTTAACCAGCTCTTTTTCTTTCTTTTGGTTTCCAATTCAATGTCTCTACTTCACTGGCTACTAATGTATACTCTGTTATTCTCTCACAGCACCTCATTCCCCTCCTTCATGGAGCTTATTATAAGTTTTTTATTATTTTATTGTTCATTTGCTTTTAAACAATCAGTTTCTTCCATTAAAATGTAGGTTGTTTGAGGACAGAGACTTTTACTTGTCTTATTCTCTTTTGTATTCAGTGCCCCAGTGCCCTGATTGCAATTAGGGTCACAGTAACTGGATGGATAGGTGGGTGAAGAGATGGCCAAGTGACTGCCTCAAGTAACACAGTAACTGGATGGATAGGTGGGTGAAGAGATGGCCAAGTGACTGCCTCAAGTAACACAGTAACTGGATGGATAGGTGGGTGAAGAGATGGCCAAGTGACTGCCTCAAGTAACACAGTAACTGGATGGATAGGTGGGTCAAGAGATGGCCAAGTGACTGCCTCAAGTAACACAGTAACTGGATGGATAGGTGGGTCAAGAGATGGCCAGTTGACTGCCTCAAGTAACACAGTAACTGGATGGATAGGTGGGTGAAGAGACGGCCAAGTGACTGCCTCAAGTAACACAGTAACTGGATGGATAGGTGGGTCAAGAGATGGCCAAGTGACTGCCTCAAGTAACACAGTAACTGGATGGATAGGTAGGTGAAGAGATGGCCAAGTGACTGCCTCAAGTAAATTTCTCATTTTACTACCCACTACCCAATGAATCTGAACAAGTTACTGAAAATGTGCAAGCTTCAGTTTTCCTCTTTGTAAAATGAGGATAGATACAATGCCTACCTTATAGGATTTTGTAAAATTTTAGGTCATCTATGTTAACCTCATAGTACAATGCATGACATGTAATAATTGCTCAATACACACTAATAATTACTAGTTTTACTAATACTGTGATCCTTAGCTTTTCCACCTTCATCTCTCTCCCATCTGTGTCCCATTTTATCACATTGCTTTCCAGAGTCGTGATGATTACTGAATATGAGACTGCTAGTTTGAACTGCCCAGTGCATAGCAGTGGAGCTATTGCCTAAGCTTATGTTAATCTAGCATCAGAGCCAACTATCATTTGCCTTATTGTTTATCAAATATGTCTCATTGTAAATTCTTATTGAGCTTAAAATTCAATTAAAACCCCTCATGGCACGCATCTGCTGACCTACAACTGGGTGGTGAATATAGACATTTGCATTTACCTGTCTGGAACTTGGTCATTTTCGTTTGGGCCTGTCGTGTCAGCTTGTCCGAGCTCTCTTGGATCCTCTTTTCAACATATTGCCATAATAAATTCTTCCTCTGAGGTTTGTGTCACAGACACATTTGATCAGCACATCGGTGGCATCCTCATTAAAGTCAGTGGTCTAAATAGTATAGCACAGAGAGCATCACAGAGCCTATGACCTGCAGCTTCCTTGTAATTTGATATTTGCTGTTCTGTCTTCCATGTGATTTGTTCTAATTGATGTTTAAGAACCAGATCATGTTTATTTTTCTGTTTAAGAACCAGACCATTGCCTTCTTCAAAATAATTCTAGTCAAATAAAAAAATTATTTTTATGCCTACTGTGTGTAAGTAGCTTGCCTAGATACCGATGAACCATGTGACAGAAGCTTGCCTTGATGGTGGGCAATGAGGAAATCGGGCATGGATGGCTAAGAAATCAAAGTGCCGTTGTAAATATGGAGCAGATTTGTAGTTTGGCAGGATATAAACCCGTGTTGGGAAACTCCCAATGAGAGGTCAAAATTGAAATGGGGCTGTCTGAAATTCCATTTTGTTCATCTAGATAACCTGGATAAATGGGCTAAATTGGAAATTTGAGTCTTAAAATCATTTTTTTGAGATTTCTCCTATTCATTCTATTGACTTACTCTCCATTTTAAAGTCTTTTGTCCTAATCATTTACCCTATATCTCTCTGTTCTATGCCTATTTTATTTTTCTTTATGAAAATGGGTGAAAGCAGGAATTTTGCTAGTTTTCTAATTATCACAGCATATAAATTCAGTAATGTATGTGAAAGTGTTTTCTAAACTATGAAAAGCTGTATACATACATAGGAATAGAATGGATTGTCAATAAATTGAAGAGATGAGTTTACTCCTTTGTATGTGGAAGCTGTTAATTTAAAATAACACACTCAAAATATTAGCTAAAAATCTACTTCACATTTTGGTGCTGCTTGCTAAAATTAGTTAGAAAATATAGGTTATTTTTGAGTTAAAACCAAGTTCAATAAATTCTTAAGTTCCTCAAATAGAATTTTACAGAAATATTTACATAACCCACAGCTAAAGTGAGTTTTCTAAGAACTCCCCATAAGGTGAGATCACGTACACCATGTCTCAGTACAGAAGGATTTTTTTTTCAATCAGTTATGTCTCTATAAATAAACCTAGTTTTGTTGTTAAAATTGCTGTTTCCTCTTCACATAAGAACATGTCATTAATTTTGGTGAAAACCTTCCAACAAAATAAGGTTAAATTGTCCAGTTTTCCAGTGGAAGAGGAATTATTTTGTGTCACCAACAAGCAGAGTAACAGCTTAAAGGTAAGTTGAACACAGACATGCTGTTTGGGTGGTCAGAATATTTTGCATCCAAGCATAAATGTTAGTAAGAGCCTATAGGTGAGAATGCTTTAGGTATGTTTTTAGTAATGCTTTACCTCTGCTACTCTCCTTAGGATTTGGGAACCAGAGCATTCATACTGATGTTCTCTGTAATTAGGTACACCAAGGAGTAACAGAAACTGGGTAGGTAGGTAGGTAGAGAGAGGTGACCTCAGCCAGAGCCGGTGTGTTTGTATAGGCAAGAAGAGGAGCTGTATTCCATGGTCTGAACTATTAAGTGATCCAGACTACAAGAATATGACTTCCTTTTCTCAGTTGTTTGAAGTTCATTTAGCGAAAAATTAAAATACAGTTTCCTATAAAACAAAATCATTTAGTTTGAACTGGAAAAACATTTGAGGTTTTCTTGGTTTGAGAGAAAATAAACATTTTCTTTTGTCCTAGCACCTATACCAAACAGTAATATTGACAAAAACCAAACCTAAGAAAATGCATTTTTTTTCCTCTAAATTAAGAAATAGTATGTATGGCTTTAAGATGCTGCTTAAAAAAAAAGAATAAGTCTTACATTTGTTCTAGTTGTCAGAGATTGACAGAACTAATAAGAGAATAAAAGAGCAAAACGAAAAAGTTCTTGCTGATTAACAGTTGTCTGAGGAGAAACAGACGATATGTTTTCTTTATTGCATTGAAAAGTTAATTATTACCAATAGAAGCTTATTTATGCTTGTAACTGAGTTAGCGTTGTGGCTTGGCATTATTCCACATTTGAAGGGAAATGGGTATCGGCGAAGAGTCTGGAGCTTGAGTTCTAGTACAGTTGAGTGGGCTTAGCGAGTGGTTTAACTTCACTGGATCCCACGTTCCCACCTGTAAAGTGAGGCGATAGATTAAGATGATGACTGAGGTGTCTTGTGTCCCTAACTGCATGTTTTTTTCCTAAAGGCCTATTTTGTTTTTTATGAAACAAAATATTTTATCTTCACAGGGAAGTTTACTCCCAAATGTTTTTGGGACCATTTAGATAGGAGTACACTTTAGAAAAAAATATAAGCAGCACAGTATTTAAAGAACAGAAATTGTATTTGCTAAGTAAATACTGTACATCGAAGTCTTGGAAGTTAGATACAAAATAAGCCAAAAGTTTCATTTTATATTCCCTTTAGCAATCAGAATATTTGATTATTTTCTAGACAGTTTCTGTAAGAGTACCATTTGGTATAAGAGTTTTAATTTGTGATAGTAGAAAAGTAATAAAAATGTGTACACCATCTAAGAGACAAAATAATTTTGCCAAAAATTGCCTTTTGTTCTGGTTAAGAATAAATGGGCCAATTTCTTTTACACAATAATTTTTAGTAGCAGATACCATATCTAAAAAACTATATTTACTATGGCAATAGTAGCAGACTAATTATCCAGCTTTCTTTGGAAATTGTGACTTTTGTAGTTGTCAATACTTTTATATCTACACTGAAAAATTTTTGGCTTTGAAGAGTATGCCTGCATGTATGTTGATTTTCCTGTAATTTTAGTATCTGGGAAAATATTCCATCTGAAGCATATGTAGAAGTATAGAAAATTGTTGAAATTCCATTTTGAAATGACCTTTAGGCTGCTCTTCATTTAAGGTAATAGTGTCAATTTTGAACAAACTGTTTCAAAAACTTTATTTAATTTAGGATTATGAATGGCATCCTTGTTGGTTTTTAAGTATTTTTAACCTCATGATGAGAATCTGAGAGCATTGTAAATACATTTAATAATGAAAAAGATATTTTCTAAACTTGAAGTCAATAATAAACTTCTTGTATTTAAATTGACTTATGAAGTTTTCTTAAGGCAAAATCAGTTATAACTTTATGAATAGCAATATTTTCAGTTCATTTAAATTTATTTTATTTTTATAGATAGTGAAAGCATCTGTATCTTATTTGAAAGTGCCTGTCATTCTCTTATTTATTAAAATTGCTTTAGTGTGGTTTTTATATTTAGTCTTGGTTTTTACTTGTGTTTAGCCATATTTCTACACATAGGGAATGGTGCAGGAGCTACACCACTGTAATTAGTAGTGGGCAATGTGACCAAGTTTTTTTAATCTTATATTTCAATATAATTTCAATGCAATTACTCTATTGAGTAATTAATAACTTTAATGTTTAGACATAAGTGAATATAATTAGCCCAAAATATAACAACATAATGTGAAAATGATGTTTAGACTTCACTTACTGAGTCCTGAAGCCCTAATATTAATACTTATAATTTCCTGCTGTAAATTTTTATGAAAACTAAATAAGAGTATCATAATAATTTCTGTTATTTACTGTAGCCCAGATGATTGTAAATTTGAGGAGGAAATGATGTACCTTAGATGTGTCATTGGACTTGCACTTGTTTTTTATCAAAATGATAGGGAATCAATTAATATTTTAATAGTTACAAAAGAAAGTGAAGAGTGAAATAGCTTGGATATTATTCATATATAGTGTGTATATGTGTGTGCACATATGTATATGTAGGTATATATACATGTATATAAAATTATCTGGCCATCTGGATCATATATATATGTATAATGTCTGGCACATTGCACATAGCAGGCACATAGTATGTGCTCAAAAATATTTATTGTATTGAATTGAGAGCTTGGGAAGGAATAGTTTAAGGGAATAAATTAACAGTTTGCTTTCCTAAACTGGAATTATTTTATTATATTTTATTTTTGCTTTTGGATGATTTTTCTCAGTTGGCAAAAAAAACTATTGTCAAATGGTAATAAAAGTCAATAACTGTAATGAATATTCCTTTTATTATGCTGTGATATGTTTTCCTGCATTTTGGGTAACTGTTTAAAGATAATTTTTCTTTGGTAATTCTTTTATCTACCAGCTTTTATACTTTTTAGATTTTTCATTTTTATTCGCCATTGGAAAGACTACTTTTTTTATATGGAGATGTCCCACCAGAAAAGATTGTTTTCCTGGTTTTTTGCAGTTCATTTTGAAAGAAGCAACTCCAGGTTTATTTTTGATTTGAATACAGCTAGTGTAGCATGAGAAAATCCTTTTGAAGTGCTTTCAGAAGGATTAGGTCAGGGTTAGGTGTAGTTTTTTTTTTACATAAAGTAAATTTAGAGTTGCTATTTTAAAAAATTGTGCCAATTTGTTAGCAAACACAGGTCAAAGGTACCTTTACACTGGTGACTTTCACCTCAGAAACAGTGGGTGATCTTCACCAGTCACCCTCTTTCTGCTTTTCTGCCAAGGAAGGGATCATGGCTTGGTCTCAGGGAAGAAAGGAAGGAGTCCCAGTTTCTTCCTGGTACTTTTGTTTACTAATGTACTAAGGGCTATTTTATTAAATAGCATTATAAGTCAACTTGAATATATTACATATATTTAATATATGCATTCATGTATAATATTAATATAATATATATGTATATCTTAAAATAGATGTATATATCTAAATATTATATGTAAATATACATGTGTATAAAATTAGTCTTATATATTAACATTTTAAGTGGAAAATGATTTTTTCTTTCATTAAATTGGAATGTCAAGTACATGGCTGACATAATTTCCTTCTAGAAAATAAGAACCTGGCTAGACACAGTGGCTCATGCCTGTAATCCCAACACTTTGGGAGGTCAAGGCAGGAGGATCGCTTGAGCCCAGGAGTTCAAGACCAGCCTGGGCAACATGACAAAACCCCGTCTCTACAAAAAAAATACAGAAATTAGCCTGGCATGGTGACACAGACGTGTAGTCCCAGCTACTTGGGAGACTGAGGCATGAGAATCTCTTGAGCCGGGGAGGTTAAGGCTGAAGTGAACTGTAATCTCACCAGCCTGGGTGACACTAAGACAATGAGACCCTGTCTCAAAAAAAAAAAAAGAAGAAGAAGAGAAAAGAAAAGAAGGGCCAAACTGTTACTTTTTTGAGCCTTTCTTTCTTTAGAAATCATAACATTTGGGTGGTCATAGCATATTAAAGGATTCCTTTTATATGTATACCAAGCAAAGGAATATAGGTCTACATTAGTCTTTTTAGTTATGTTCTCTCCACAAACATTATAAGACCATCATATTTAAATGTCCCAATATAGCATTTTATAGTATGTGCAGTAGAATAGATGCCATAGAATTACCAGCTTTGCAAAACAAGGAACTGCCAAATATCCAAAATGTTTTGAGTTTATTACCTTCGTTAACATAGCTCTTGTGATACAGCTCTGAACAAAACATAGAAACATTCTCTTGGATGATAGTTCATTTAGGTGGGTTTGTAAGTCATTGAGCACCATTCCTGGGATGTCTTTCCTACAGATACAGTAAACATTGTAGTCCTCCAGTAGTCAGATACTAAAAACAGTCAACTCCCAGCTGAGTGAGGGGGAAGAGCGGAATTAGGAAGCCACTTTCAAAATCTGTACAGTGATATCAGACCCTTGATATTTGTAGGGACAAATCTACAATCTTCACAAGTGAAGGCAAAAACAATGAATTTCTCCTAGTAAGTGTAGTAAGGTATAACGGGTCCCTTCAACCTCTGGAATGTTTATAAACTTAGAATAAAAATTATTTGTGAAGCCAGTGAAATAAATCCTACTACTAAGATAAACTCAGTGTATTTCATCCCAGTGGAGTGACATTTCAGGAGGGGGTTATGTTCCAAGTTCAGCCTAAAAGGTTGAATATTGCATGTGACCAAATTACTTTAAAAAAATCTCATAAATTCCTCATAATTTAATGGTCTACATGGATTTGTCTGTATTGATTTTATGTGCATTTAGAGCCATATATTCCTGCCACATTGGAGACATTCATACCCTATCTCAAAGATTTTAACCCCTATCACTTTACTTTCATTGTTGGGATAGATTGCTGTTGAATCAAATGGGGAGTCGATAAACAAGTTGACTTGTGTTTGGCAATGTTTGTGCTTTGTATGAAAAATATACGTGTTTCTTAGATGAAATTACCACATAGTGTTGTCAGATGGTCATACTATGAAAGGTACACATGTACTGTGACCGACCAAGGGCTCAGTGGAGTCATGTCTCACTCTTCATGCTCACTCCAAGGCATTCACTCATTGAGTTGAATGGTGGATGGAGTCACCCATACTTCTTCCATTTATCTCTTTCTGTTACATGTTGCAACTCTACTATATGTTCCTATTGCAGTAACTATGAACCATCTGATTTTATGATGGTAATGTTTGAAGACAAGGATGAAATGTACCACATAGCAGGGTGATAAGAGATTGCATCTCTTGAGAGCCATTTACATCAAACTCAAGAGCAGAAACAGGGGACCTTAAAAGTAAGAAATGAAGGATACAACCTGGGCAAGAGACAGGTGTGCTTCTGAAGTGGTAGGTTTTTAACATTGTGATTGATGGCTGTCTTTTATAGTTCAGCTCTTGATACATTTTCTGGTATTGAACCAATGCAAAACTTATTGTCAGACAATTTTAAAACTCCACACCATTGACAGATGATAACTGGTGTGGTCAACAATTAGGAGATTTATATATTTGACTCCTTCATTATTTTAAGACTTTTCTATTTATTTCAACATTGTCTTTTTTCACTTCATCTCTTTTTACTCACAATTTCGGGTTGTCTTTATCCATTTCAATCTGTAATCTGAATCTACCTCTCCCAGTTACTCTTGGCGATATTCACATTACCCTAACAACTCTTTTGCAATGCATCGTTTGAAAAATGTTTCACCTCTCTTTTATAGCTTTCCAACAATCACATCTTATTTCAGATTTTTCCCTCATCCAGGGCTATCTTAATGTTCCTTTACACCTTTTATGTCTGCTCCTAGCATCAGCAGACATAAAAAGTCAAGATCTCTATCTATGTATGCAAATATGTCAGCATACAATACCTTGAACATTGTTAATATTTTACTCATTTAGAACACTGAAAAAGCATGATAGGATTAGGGGCAGAAAAGGCCCTATATTATTTTAAAGAAAAAAAATTGCAGATTTAATGAATGGCCTGATATTTTGTCTATGATGATTAGAAACTTACATTCATAAGAGTGCAAAGCAATTTTTTTTCCATTTTTAGCAAACATAAAGTCTTTATTAAACCTGTCCCAAAAAAGTAGAGATATCACCTGAACTCATTTTTGTAAACTGACCGCAGAGTTGTAATGATTCTTTTGCCACTGAATCTCCTGGCATGACAGAACAGTGGTGTAAACTTGGCTTAGTCAAAAAGTCTGCCGTATTGTCGCAATGTAATACAGTCAGCTTTATATCAGATGTCTGAAATTCTTCTCTTCTTTAGACACATACTTTTAGAAAGGCACTTCTTTCTTGCCATAGTTCCATTTCATCTGTTTTGAACACTTGTTTTGGCTGAGAGCTACGTTAGCTCTGAGGAAGTGCTTCTGAATTTAAGTGATCAGTTGATGCCACTTCTGTTAACATTATGCAAAGAAAAAAAAAGTTTCTTAAAATTCCTTAAAGAATATTTGCTTAGAGTAAGGATTGATTAAATAGCCACATTGGAAGCAATTGGAAAACTGAAAAGTTCCACAAAAATGTTGCATATTTTATTGGGAAGGCTGAAAGGTTAAGTTGCACGTTGATTCTTAGGCTGGCGTGGAGTTCATCATGTTGTAAAAGGTGTAGACAGTGGGACTTGAGGCTAAGCAAATCCAAACCTCAGGACGTCTTCAAGTCACTAGCCCTAAAGTCTCCTGCAGAAATGCTTCTTCAGAGTGAACCAGGCCCAGGGCTTTGCACATTGAGATCCTTGTGTTTGGTAGCATGATACTTGACCCATGTCATCTGGGTTGTATCTTCTCCTTTGTCTCTGTGCTATTTGTGTCTTCCACCTATGTCACATTATAGGCCAAGAGGTTTTAGAAGGCAGACTGTGTCATTTCCTCTTTATTTTCTCTTGTATCTAGGATTGTTTAGGGAGACAATATGGTGTAGTAGAAAGATTATAGGACTTGAAATCAGACTAACTCCGTTTTGAATCTCAGCTCTGCCACTGTATAATCTTATGTAAGTTACTTAACATCTGTGAGCTTCAGTTTTCTCATCTGTAAAACAGGAATAGGATACTTATTTTTATATGGTTGTCATGAACACAGAATGGAATTTTAAAATATAAAATGCTAAGACAGTGCTTGGTACATGGTAAGCACTCAAAAGTGATAGCTGGTATCAGTGTTACTATTAAGTCCACAGTGAAAGCATGAAGTCAGCGTTATGTGCAATCAACAATGGTAACCGTGAACAGGATTTCTAGAATGGTATCAGCAACCTTCTGCATCTGCTACAGTGAAGAGGATAATCATTTTTGGCTGTTTCTAAAATGAGTTTCTACTTATAATATCCTTTTGTTCACATAGGCTGGTTCCCCAAGTGTCTAGCTTGGAGAATGAGTCTTAGAAATAAATTTTGCTATATTCTAGACCAGTGCTATGCCAAAAAATTTTCTGTGATGATGAAAATATTTTATACCTGCACTTTCCAATATGGTAGCCATGGAATCACCATGTGGATACCAAGCACTTATACTGTGATTAATGCAAGTAAGGAACTAAATTCTTTATTTTAATTAGCTTAAATTTAAATAGCCAAAGCAAGCTAGTGCAGCTCTAGACAAAAATTTACTAATGATTTGACAAAATCAATCTTAACATCTATAAGTTAATAAAAGTATGAACTAGTAAATACTAAATTTCCAATGAGTTCATATTTTACACACACCGAACTTTATAGAAATGATTATTTTCTCCCAAGTGATAGATTATATGTTTCAATTTTCAGTATTATATACTACCTTACTTTTGGAAATATATTCTTTGAATTCATCCATTGGCTTCTGAGTGATAAATTCACATTGTCAAAATTTGTCAGCCTCAAATCCACCAGTTCCTTCTTTTAACTTGCGAGGATTTTTGGATCTAGTCTTCTTACTGTTCTGTAATTTTTCTTCTCCCCATTCTCATCTTCTGTTACACAAACAAGTCACCCTATATTAAAGATGGCGAAATAATTTTTAAGTCACATAATGTTTACTAGCAGGAATAAATCACTACCATTGAGGTATTATAGTTTATGCTTCTTTTTCTTTCCAGGCAAATTTATCCTTTTGAATTAAGATGTTATATAATTTTTCAAATAGGTTTTGCATTCATTTCTTTGGATATTTTTTCTTAGGAAATCAGGAAAAATGTATAGTAGAGTTTCTTTTAATGAAACTTTTTATTTGGTTCTACTTAATTTATGTAAAAAATATATTTTAATTATCTGAAATACAGAATGCTTCTCAAATTGTAGGATTGTGAAATCAATTTTATAGATTGAAGCAAGAAATGTTTTTTTTTAAGAAGTGGAATTGGACAGGCATAGTGGCTAATGCCTATAATCCCAACACTTTGAGAGGCTGAGGTGGGAGGATTGCTTGAACTCAGGAGTTCAAGACCAGCCTGCGCCATATAGCGAGACTTTGTCTCTACTAACAATTAAAAAAAAATTATCTGGGTATGGTGACACATGCCTGTAGTCCCAGCTACTTGGGAACCATATCTATATCTATATCTATATCTATATCTATATCTATATCTATATCTATATCTATCTATATATATATCTTAATATATATATAAGATAAGATAAAATAAAAGTAGAATAAAATAAGATGGAATAGGAAATGTCAGAGCACATCACACATAGTAAGAGTTAATATTATTTCTTGAAATGCTTCTTACATTTATATGTGTGTGTGTCTCTGAATTGTGATTTAAAATGGATTTTTTACTATGGATCTTGGCCAAAAAAATGTTTGAAAGCAACTGCATAATTTATTGTACGATGTGGTGAAGGCAGTGAAGTCAGAAGATCTGGTTCAAGGCTTGAGTGTACTGCTTTAGACAATTTTCAATGTCTTCAACCCAAAATTTCTTATATGTGTAAACAGAGATACCTGCCCTATATGTTTCATGCAGTTGTTTCAAATATCAAATAGAATTCTAAGGTGATGTATAGTTGTAACACTCCTTATTCCTTTCAAGTAATAATTTTATATTGACAAAACTCAGTGGCTTGCACCAACAATCATGTATATTTATATTTATGAGTCTGCAGGTCAGGTACGCTTTGGCTGATCTGTGCTGTATTTGACTGGGTGTTTCTGCTTCAGGTCGTGGGTTGTGCATTGTCTGGGCCATGGTTGGGGTTTGGATCTGATCTCCATGTATTCTTTCTGTGGTCTAAGCCAAAGGGGCAGCGGCTACCCAGTGCATACACTTCTCATGGTTAATCACCAGAACATGAGCTAAACATAAATCTATTTATGATTTTTGCTTACATTATAGCCATGCAAATTCCACTGGCCAAATGAAATTATATGGCTAAGCCCAAAGTCCCTGGGGAGACATAAGGTATTCCACTCTCAGTGGAAGGGAGATGGGAGTGAATATTTGCTGAACAACAGTCTAAATAAACTATCATATTACCCCAAAACTTATTAAACCCACACGTTTATTAACTGCCTCATTCTTAAATATAAAAGGATAGCCAAGTATTATCCTGTATTTGAGGAAAACCTACAACATAATGGAAAGTCCAAATCAGACAAACAAGAAAGGAATGTGGAGGAAACTGAGGCAACATATAATAAGCAAAGGAAAACATTTAAATACTGTATATTCTAATAGGTAAAATATTATATTCATAGATTAAAATTAGCATGCTATGTAAAAAAGTGTCCGTAAAAACAAGAAATAGCTCATAGAAATACAAAATGGGTAGAAAATTTTCTTAACGTTCAAAATGAGGTGTCATCAGTCAAAGAAATCTTCCAGAAGTTACAATCAGAAGACAGAGATGGAAAATATAAGAAAATGAGATAATCAATCCAACAACTAATGTCCTGGAGCTAAAGTGTATGGCATTAAAATATTTTAAAATAGTAGAAGAAAACATCCTCAAACTGAAAAAAATAAGCCTTCAGATTGAAAAGGACTCACTGAAAACTGCGCACAAGGAATGAAAAACAGCTCCATTCCAAGATTCAGCATTGCAAAATTTCAAAATGACAAGGAAAAAGAGATGACTGTAAAAGTTTCCAGAAAGAAAAAAATGTAAATCATAGACCAAGTACTAAGAATCAGGATGGCCTAGGGATTTTCAGTTGTACTATTAGGATCTAGAAGACAGTGGAATAGTTCTTAAAAATCCTGAATGAAAACTAATTTCAAAATAGAGTTTTATACCCAGCCAAACAATCAAGTGTACACATACAATAATAGCATTTTCAGGCAGGCGAATACTCGAAAATGTGTTTTTCGTGTACCTTTTCTTATTAAAGCTACCTGGAGATTGTACTTCGACCAAAAAAGGGAATAAATTGAGAAACATGATGACTTATGACACAGAAAACAGAGAACCCTAAAAGAGCATAGGGAAGGCTTGACAGAAGATAGAGATCAACCAGGCCATACATAAGGTGCCAAGAAGGATATATCCAGTTCTTAAAAGAACATACACTTTATCTAATATGTTCATTTAAAAAAAATTATTGATGATTGTTTAACAGATATGTTTGAATATTTGGGGGAAAATGTCAGTTATCTAGAAAAACAAACTATTAAAAAACTAGACAATTCTAGAAATAATAAAATGATACATAAGAAAATTAATTTAAACAAGATAATGCTTGTCTCAGCAGTGAGCAAATTTTTCATAATCATTATAATGTAAATGAACTACTGACTAATGCTTTAACCAAAATCATTATATGGGAGCATGAGGTGGGTATGTAGGGTGGGTGGTGCGAGACCTAAATTGTCACCCTTCTTCACGTAAGAAAGGTCTAATATTGAAAACTTAAGAAATAGCAGTATAAGTTTGTCTTTTAAAAATGTGAAGATAAACATCAGAAGAACTAATGGTGCATGCCATTGGAGATTAGGTTTGAAATCGGGGAGGTAGACCATGGGCACTGCTGTTCCTTGTTATGAGCCATTTAATACTATGTAACTTAAATTAGGTGCATTACTTTGATGGGCAAATTTAATCAACAATAAAAAGAAAGTTAACATATGCCCATGATTAAGAAAAAAACTTCCTACAGTGTGGAGGGATATAAATGAACAGCATCAAGTCTCCCTTTTCCAAATTCGATCCCCAGTACTGTTTTCTTGCAGTGACCACTTTTAACAGTTTCTACTTTGAGTTGTTCTGGTGGTTATAGTCATGACTTGAAAGATACCTTTTGATAAGGTGTAAAGCTATCTGGACCTGCCTTTGCCCAGTTAGCCAAAAGATGGCCACATCAAACTGCACTGTAGACATGCAGGTTAATAGTGTGCTTTGAGAGTAATGTACAATTGGCCTATGGCTGTTGTTGGTCTTTCATCCCCAAGCTACTATATACAGCCAGGGAAGCAGCCCTGACCTAGTTGGGTGAGGCAAAGGGTTATCCTGCCAGTGGGAGCATGGCATTTCTGGCAAGAGATTTCTCTTCTAACGGTTGGACTTGGTGCCATGGCAGATTTTCCTGACTCAGGGAGTAAGTGTTGAGCCCTGGTCCAGCTGGTTAGATTATTTGTTGATTTTGATTATCTGCACCAATAAGCTCTTTCACTGGCATGGATAATCAGAAGCAGGCAGTAATTTTCCATCTTCCTAACAAAAATGCATTTCACATTTTGAAATTACAATAGATGAAGTTTTATTCAGTTTTCACCAAAATACTGCTTCATTGAGAAGGGGGAACTTTTATGAATTAAATTGAGAACTCTTTAGAGATAGTCATATATTCTTAGGTGGGTCATTTTTTCTTGTCACTTTGCTGTTCTTGAAAGACAGAGGGAAAAATCAGTAATAATGATATTTGCTGTCTTTTAGTCAGATTTTACTATGTGCTAGGCACTCTGCTAAGTATTCCTAGCCTAATTTAATCTTCACAACAGCTTTAGAAGCTTGTTATCACTCCGATTTTAGGAGGAAGAAACTGTATGATAGTCTAATGACTTGTCCAAGGTCACAGAAAAGTGCCAGAGCTGTGTCTGGAGCCCTGATTTGCGTTGGCTGTTAGACCCATGTTCTTTACCTCTGTGTTTGGACTGTTTTGGCAACGCAACCCTTGACTTTTTATTACATGAGGAAAAGAAAGCAGCTAATTTGTACTTAAAACCTAATTACCAGTGTAAGGTACATATGTTGTTATTGTTGCATAGTGCTTACAAAAATTGTATCTTTTCTTTTTAAAAAAGTTTTGAATTTTATACATTTTCTATTCTGTCATTCTTTTGTCTTCTCTCAATTCAAAATTCCGGAGTAATCTTTGGTCTTCTGATTCCTCTCCTTTTATTTCCATAAAATCACCATTTTCTCTTTATATTTCTGTTTTAAGTCCCTCCACTCCTCATGTCTGGAATACTGCAATTATCTTTTCATGGTCTCCCTTCCGCCATTCTTTGCCACCTTAAACTGATTGTACACATTGATCCAGTTTTCTCAAGCTCAACCTCTGTCATATTGCATACCTGTTTAAACCATTAATGTCACCCTATTATCTATAAGAAAAATGTAGCGTTATTAATCTACAATTAAAGAGCTTTCATAATGTGATCTAAAGTATCACTCCGGAGCTTTTGTGCCCTTACTTCTTTCTCACTTTTCTTGCTCATGCTAATATATCCCTCATCTGGCTACTGAGGCATGAATTTTCTCTATAACTCAGTTGGTGTTTTTATATGCTTTGCATTTTGATAGTCTTCTTGTGTATCTATGTCTCATTTACCCAGATGAATTATTAACTACTGAGTTTAGAGATGGGAACTCTGAATTCATCATATTATTTAGTATAGTTTCTTACATATAGGACTGTGTAAGAAAATTAATGAATAAATTTTTGAAGTTTTAAAGTTAACCTATAATTCCAATTCTGTATTTCTTTGCTTTTGTTAATTTTATAAATGTTAAACAATACAAATTTAATAGTCTTTATTATTTTTATCTCTTTAATTATATTTAATTATGAAATTGGAAATATATGGGTATAACTTTAATAACACAGTATTTTAAAGAAATAAGTCAGTTTAACTTAGTATTCCAATTTGAAAGATACAGAAAATCTACAGTGAATGAAAATGATACAATTATTTCACAGTTTTTCAAATAAGCCAATATTTGAGAACTGTACTAAGTTATTATATTGTTGGTTAATGTATGGTTTTGATGGAGATAAACTGAATATTTATACTGTTATGAATTCAAGAAAAAATGTAAATGAATTATTTAATTTATCTTCCATGATGTATCAAATGTAGTTGGAGATTGTTCAGAATATTGAATAAGGACATGAGGAAATTTGGAAGTTTATTTAAATACTAAATTTAAATCCCTCTACTTACACATGATTTTGTTTTCCAAAAGGAGGTTGCAATTTTTTCTGTATCAAATTTGCTTCTTGCTTTCTGCTGAATTTGAAAATGTTTCTGCCCTTTCTTTTTTTTTTTCTTGTTTTAATAGCCTAAATATTTTTAAAGGTTCATCTTTTATTTTCTTTGGCTTAATTTTACAGATGTTCTATTGATAAATAAATATTTCTACTTTAATATATAAATTATTTAAAATTATGGCCTATATAAGATATTTTTGCTTTGAAATATTTGAGTTTCAGTAAGATAAGGATAATTTCATCCCGAAACCAAAAAATAAACCTTCATAAATTTTATATATTCATATTTGTCTTAGAGTGTTCTTGTTGACTTTTTAAATTGCAAATTTAAATGGAAATATTATTTTAGCTCAGAAATCTCATACACTCTCAATGCTTAAATTTCTCATGCTTTTTTTTTTCCTGGATTATTTTTTCCAAGTAATATTGAACATCATAATCATGCCATTTTTTACACCTCACATTTTTCGAAAATCTCTCTTATTTATTTTACCTTTAATTTGGGTTTTGAAACACCCAAATGAAGCCATAAATTTATCTTTTAGAATAAAAAGTACATACTTGATGTAAATCACTGCATGTGTCTGATTGAATCTCACACAAAAATGTTACTTTTTAAAGGCAGTGGTATTTTAAGTAAATATTACTTTTTAAAGGGAACGACTCTTAGAATGAAAGTGCAATTATCCACTTTGACTACTCTCATTTAATCATTTCATTTTTAAAATTAGATTTCATTTTACAATCCAAAATAAAACCTCATTCATGTGCATTTTTGGATGTGCTAATTCCTTTTGTCATAAAATGGAAGCTAGCCTAAATTTTCTAATAATTTTTTATCAAATTGAAATTCATGGCAAAAAATAAAAATGAGCTAATTTTGAATTCAAGTGCATGTATTTTATATGGATGCTTTTTCCCCTTCTCTCTACCTAAGGAAATAGAGAAATTGAGAATAGAACTGGATGAAAGCAAACAACACTTGGAACAGGAGCAGCAGAAGGCAGCCCTGGCCAGAGAGGAGTGCCTGAGACTAACAGAACTGCTGGGCGAATCTGAGCACCAACTGCACCTCACCAGGTACTCCCTAATCCCATTATGCGCCATAGCACCGATTTCATTCCACTGATTTTTGCCACAGGCTTCCAAACAGTTGTTAGAGTTAGTCTTAGTCATTCAATTCACACTTAGCTTTCAGGCATATTAAGAAAAGTGGAGATGTGGTAAGCAAAACACCCAGACATGTGAATGATAAGTGTGGCAGGGAATTACTGATAGATTACAAAACCTTTCATCTACAATGCTCAAATATTTAGGTGATTCTCTATCAATATAAGCGAAATGACATATTTCTCCTACCACCACTACTACCTCTTCTGCTAATTCTACGTCTAATAAAAATCTTGAACTGAAGGATGTGAGGAATTCATTTAGGAAAATAATAAAATACTGTCAGTGGTGAGAGAGACAAAGTAAATAAATTGTAAGATGCAAATTGAAATGGAACTGATACAAAATAAGGAATCTGCATCCTAAGGAGGTGTAAAATTTTGAGATGAAATAGATTGGCACTGCTCATGTTCAAATCATTATTATAACCAGGCTTACACCATTGAGGTTTCAAATTACTTCATTTCCATCATGAGATTTTGTGATGTGATCATCATTGTCATCAACTTTAGTAAATATGTAGCTCGGCCCTAAATTACAGTAAGACTCTTTAGGTTGTAAGCATTGTGAATTTGCTGCATTGGAAAAAAACATACACACACATACACACACACATAAATACACACATGGAAAGAAAAATTCAAAAGAGAAAGTAGATATTTCACTTTATCATATGTGGTTTCTTTTCACTTTGAGTTTTATTACGATTTTGCAGTGTTCACATCAAGCCTTTGGGGTTGCTCAGTTCTTAAAGTTTTTCAGTTTTTAGAGAGAACTTTGTTTAAATAAACATGTAAGTTCATGATATTTGGTTTGGTTTATAAATTAGAAAAACATTGGTCTTCCAATCATAGTAATATGTTGAATTTAAACTATGAAAGGGGACTGATCCCTTTTACATTAAATATGACAATGTAATTCTGAGCACGGTATGCTAACAGATGGAGAAAAGCACCACTTGAACAGCCTGCGTTTGGAGAAAAAAATATTCTAGAGGTTGGTGAACCTCCCAAAGTTTTGGGTGAGTGTTAAGATGCCTCTGGTTCTGTTAAAATCAAACCTTGTATAAAACATTTTGTTATGATAATATTCCAAATGATTTGACATCTTCCCTTTTAAACAATAAAAGAAAGAGGAAAGAAAGAGAAAGCAAAGAAAGAAAATAAATTATTAATACATGTCTGGTATCTAGAAAAAAATCCTAATAGATGAAACACATATATGAGAAAAAAATTGCTTAATATTGCAGAATAATAACTGTTCTTTTAATGCTCATTTAAACTATTGTCATTGTAGAACTGAGAACATAACGTTAGCATAATTCCTGTGGCTATTTAATCTTAGAAGTTTCAGAATTTAGCTTCATCATGGTAATGTTAATAGTTTTTCTTTTCTGTCAGACTTCTATTCAGAACCAACCATTTGTGTGCTAAGCACTGCTAAACCTCAGAAATAGGACAGCTTTTAATGTCTCAGTGTGGCTGAGCTTCAGTAAATAAATATTAATGCTGGTTTTGCCCCTTTTGCCATTCTGTCTTATTCAGAGAGTTAATTTCTGAAGTCAAAGTCCGTAGAGAGTTTTCCCGTATAGTATCAATTTATAGTGTTTGACAAGATCAATTTCTTGCAAGTAGAGCATATTAAGATGCAGCAACTGCTGAAAATGGACGAGTGGTAACTAATTCCTTTGTTCTTAAGAAAAACGGTTTTGCTTGGTTC
Source organism: Homo sapiens (assembly GCF_000001405.40). NCBI lineage: Eukaryota > Metazoa > Chordata > Mammalia > Primates > Hominidae > Homo > Homo sapiens. The sequence goes on from NC_000001.11 coordinate 243,380,673, forward strand.
CATAGAAAGCTTTTTTTTTTTGTTGAGCTTTATTTAAACCAATTCTACTAAAATTTAAACGTAGTTTTACAGGAAATAAAAATTATTTTCTAAGTGCGGTACTCTTTTGTAAGCATTTTATGCTTAGTCTATATTCATGTTTTATAAAATCCACATTCATAAATTTAAAGATGACAATTAGAAATGCAAGGAACTGTGTATATCTCCCCTTTGCACTGACAATGTGATTTGGTTGTTGGGCTATTTCTGATATATAGTACTTTTTTGTTTTTTTGGTTTTTTTTTGAAGTTTGCCACCCCTCACCATACTTTATTGATTCAGTATACTCAGGTGTGTGACTGAGAAATGTTGTGTCGTTCTTTTTCAGTGTAGATCAGCTGAAATACATAACTCCCACGCAGATAACACCTTACCACACAGTCTCAACTTAAACACTTCAAATGGCATATTCTAAACAAAGTTTAAAATTGAATATGAAAACCGTGTTTAAAGTAATGATGAAATAAGGATCCAAATCTTTAGAGGCAAAGAAAATTTAAAAACTGTAGTAGAGATCTGTACATCAACCTAAAAGAAAAATAGCCTACCACTTTTTTGGTGTTTCTCCTTATGGGATTTTAAAACGGTAAATAGAGGCCAGGCGCAGTGCTCACACCTGTCATTCCAACACTGTGGGAGGCCAAGACAGGGGAATCACTTGAGGCTAAGAGTTCGTGATCATCCTGAGCAACACAATGAGACCCCATCTCTACAAAAAAACAAAAAATATTAGTCAGGCATGGTGGTGCACCTATAGACCCAGCTATTTAGGAGGCTGAGGATGGAGGATCACTTGAACTCTGAGGTTCAAGCCTGCTGTGAGCTGTGATTGCGCCGCTACACTCCAACTTGGGTGACAGAGTAAGACCCTGTCTCTAAAAAAAAAAAATGGAAAATAGAAATTTAGCATTAATTAAAGGACCCAAATGGGTGAGTGTAACATTCACTTAGTCAACAAATATTTACTGAGCACCTACTATGTTTTAAGTACTTTGCTTGGTCCTAGGCATAGAGAGAAAAAATAAAACTCAGTTTCTACCCTTAGATTGCGCATACTCTAGTAAAGAAGCTACATCTGTATATGCAAATGTAATAGACTGTGACAACAGTGCAATGATAAAAGTGATGATTACCACAGGAGCACATAGGGAGGGGGATTGGCCCATTCTACACCATAGGTGAAGGCGATAGTCAAAGAAAGCTGATATCAGGGAAAGCTGACAGTGAAAAGGGATAGTCAGGGAGGTGGAGATATTTGGCAGCAATCTTGATTAGTGAGTTCATGAGTAAGAATTCTGAAAGTGGAAGAAAGTGGGTTGGGTACCCCAGGTAGAGAGACCAATATATACAGAGACATAAAGATGGGAGAAAACAGAAACTCTACTATCAGATTAGGTGTTTGGTAGGAGATAAGACTGGAAAGGGGAGCAGGGACCAGCAGAAGAGCCTTATGGGCCATCTCCGGAGTTTCGCCCATTCTGAGTTACTCTTAATGCATTTTAGGCAGGAGCGTCAACATGATTGACTTTCTGGGTTGGGAGCTGGACTCAGAGAGCAGTGTGGAAAGTGAGCTTTGAGAGTTGATCTAGGAGACAGGAAGACCAGTTAGCCCAAGGTCAGCAATTGCAACCCATGGGTCAAGTCTGACCCATCATCTGTTTTTGTGTGACCATTAACTAAGAATGGTTTTTATATTTTTAAGTGGATGAAAAAAAGGGGAAACAATATTTTTTGACACATAAAGATTATACATCTATAAATAAAGTTTGATTGGAAAATGCTACCATTATCCTTCATTTATTATGTATGGCACTACCACACTTGAGTTGAATATGGTCCTCAAAGCCTAAAATATCTACTATCTGTCCCTTTACAGAAAAGTGTACCAACTCCTCAGGAGGCTGTTTAGTTCAAGTAAGAAGTCAAGAGGGCTTGAATAATGACAGATTCAAATATGTATTTAAAGAAGGTAATTGAAGAGCTTTGTGAAAAATGGATGGGTTGAGAAGAGATGACTGGCAGGGACCCCAGTTAGAATATAAGCACCATAGTCCAGGGGGAGAGTAATGAAGCCCTTGGCTGTGGCTGTCCCGTGAAGTGGAAAGGAAGTAGTATCTTCAGAAGGTATTTGGAGTCATGAATAAGAGAGGACACAATTAAAGGTGACTGTAAGTTTTCTAGCCCAAATTGACTAGAGGATCTGTTAAGCCAACTGAGGAACTTAAAAGAGGTAGCAGAGGAAAAGAATACTTTTCATTGTGCAACCCCAGTGGAGATGTCCAATGTTGGCTTGGTGTGAGGAGAAGGTCATGACTAGAGGCTTAGATCTGGATCCCTTTTACATAAAGGTATTCATTGTAGCTAAGGGAGTGGTTAAAAGCACATAGAAAGGATCATGTTTTAAAGAACAATGGAAGAACAGCCACCAGCCGATAAGACTGAAATGGGGTCTTCGAATATATAAGAAAAGAATAAAGAAGAATGATTCGAAGAGTATTTTCAGGGGGCAGTAACAATTAAAACCATATACTTTTCTTAGGGGAGGTCCCCAGACAGCCTAGGATTGAAGAAACCTGAATTATAGTATCTTCTGTAGGCATTCACTCCAGGCATTCTTTGCAACTTTTGACAAATTACTTAACTCTTTGGGCCTGCTTATGTACCTATAAAATGAGGTGAGGCTAGATGATTTATAAGTTTCCTTCCAGTTCTGATAATCAATGATTCTAATAATGATTTAAGACAACCCATTATTAAGTTCCTATATCTGGACATTAGGCATTTAAATTGCTTGGATGATCTTTTGTTTAAGGTATTTCCTTAGTTTGAACTTCAGAAAGTTCATTGAAATGACCTTCAGACCCACCACTTAAATTCATTGTAACTTAGGTTCTGCTGACCTCTCACAAAGGTTATCAAAATTGTCTCAACACCCTTCCAGTCTCTTTTGCTGACCATTGCCCGGTGAATATTCATAAGCCTCTGCCTTGACTCTGTTGCTATACTCTGAAAACCTTCCATGGTGCCACTCTATTAGAGAAAGGCAAATGACAACATGGCATGTGAGGTCATCCTGATAGGCTCTCAACCTTCCAGTCTTATTTCATCTAAGATGAAACCCTCTTACCTGCTGATTTCCAGACAAATGTCAGTACACATAGCTCCCCTTTTTCCCTCCATTTGCTGTTCTCTATACCTAGAATACCCCTCTGACCTTCTCTAGCTCTATTATAATCTTACCTTCTTACCAAGGTCTCCCTGAAATCCTGATTTTTCTACCTAGGCCTCCCCATTGATTCTTGTCAGAAAGGAGCGCTTCTCCCCTTGAATCCTTCTTCCCACTTTGAGCTGATGGCATTTGAGTAAATGAATTACTCAAAGGAGGAAAAAGCAAAATGTGGAAAAAAAAAGAATTAATATTTGGAAGTTTTTTGTGTACTTGCTATTTTTTGCTTCTGGAATGTGTTATTCTTCAAGTAGGAGGAGAGGTCTTATCAGTATTATATTTCTCAGAGCCCCTGGCTCATCACTTTGCAGAGTTGGAGCTCAGTAAGTCATTAATGAAAATGGTGACTGTATTCCAAATGTATGACTATTCTTTCAAGCTCAGTACTGCTATACAAATAAATATCTTCTCACAAATATCAGAGTACAAAGTATAAGAAGGTGATAAGGCTAAAATTTTTTATTGAGAATTTTACTTGTCTCTATGATACTATATTATGATTTTGTAATAATCACTTTTTTAAATTTTTAACTTTGTGTAAATATATATGTTTAAGTATATCAGAATCAAATGATAATCATTCTAACAAACAATGCAAGTAGGTTTAGTAAAGTGCACCAGGCCTCTCACTTACATGTACGTGTTTAAAAACCACACACACACACACACACACACACTCACTCTTAAACTAGAGTTCCGCATAATTAAAAGATGACAGTGGAAGCCATGTACTGTGGTGCACACCTGCAGTCCCAGAAACTTGGGAGGCTGAGGTAGGAGGGTCGCTTGAGCCCAGGAGTTCAAGGCCATCCTGGGTAACATAGCATGACCGCATCTCTGGGGGAAAAAAAAATGACAGTATTTGAAACAAGTGCCTCGTAAGCATGTTCACTAAACACGTCTAGCCTAGCATGTATGAAAACAAAGCAAGGCTGCTTTCTTCCAGTTATTACTGTTAATATTATTCAAACAACTTCTTCTTTTTCCATAACAGACTTTCAGGTACATTTAAAAATGTTCATCCATTTATTCACCCGTTCTACATGGAGCATTTTCTGTCATAAGACGCTGTGCTAGGGATGAAGGGAGATAGAAAGATAAAGAGGCCTCAGCTGCTGCCCTTCAGAAGCTTACAGGCTAGCGGGGAAGAGAAGAAAATACATGAGTAGATCGGGTGTGGTGGCTCACACCTGTAATCCCAGGACTTTGGGAGGCTGAGGCGGGCAGGTCACTTGAGCCCCAGGAGTTTGAGACCAGCCTGGGCAACGTGGCGAAACCCCATCTCCACAAAAAATACAAACATTAGCTGGGCATGGTGGTGCGCGCCTATAGTCCCAGCTGCTCTGGAGGCTGAGGTGGGAGGATGGCTTGAGCCCAGGAGGTCAAGGCTGCAGTGAGCTGTGATGGCACTGCTGCACTCCAGCCTGGGCAACAGAGCAAGACCTTGTCTCTAAAATTAAAGAAAAAAGTAAGAAAAAGAACATACACATGTAGTCGGTAAGATAAATGATAAGATCCAGAAGGGAGGTTCTAGAAAAGGATTACAGGGGGAGAGACAGATTACTTCTTACTGATTTTGGTAGGATTTGGATATAGGAAAATGGGAATGAAGGGCATTCCGTGTAGGGGAATCGATGGTATTTGGGAGGTGTGCATGTATGTATAAGAGTAAGTTAAATACAGTACACACAGCGATCAAACAGACACCTAACAAGTATCACCTCGGAGGTTAAGAATATATTCATCTTAGGCCGGGCACGGTGGCTCATGCCTGTAATCCCAGCACTTTGGGAGGCCGAGGCGGGCGGATCACCTGAGGTCAGGAGTTCGAGACCAGCCTGACCAACATGGAGAAACCCCATCTGTACTAAAAATACAAAATTAGCCAGGCATGGTGTTGCAAGCCTGTAATCCCAGCTACTCGGGAGGCCGAGGCTCAAGAATCACTTGAGCCCGGGAGGCAGAGGTTGCAGTGAGCTGAGTTTGCACCATTGTACTCCAGACTGGGCAACAAGAGTGAAGCTCCATCTCAAAAACACCACCACCAACAACAATATATTCGTCTTAGTATCTGCGTGGTACCACGCTACATGTAGCAGCTCTTTAAAAAATAATAGAGTTATAGCTAACAGCAGTGGCTAACATTTGCTGAGCCCCTGCTGTTCCAGGAACCAAGCTGAGAGCTTCTCATATAATCCTACCAATAGCTCTATAAGGTACAGACTCCTATTTTCTGTAATTTACAGCTGAGGCAACTAAGGCACAGAGAAGGAAAGGAGTCTTCTAAGGTTACACAGCTGATATGTTATCGAAGCAGGTTTTGAACCCCAGTAAGTTGCCTGCAAAGCTTGTACCCTTATCCATTAAGCTGTAATTCTATGTAAATTACTAGAGAAATGGATTAATGCAGTTGTTCTGAAAAAGACAACTTAGAAAATCAGTAACATGAATTTATAATAGAAATAAATGTTAGCTTCTTCCGGCCGGGCGCGGTGGCTCACGCCTGTAATCCTAGCACTTTGGGAGGCTAAGGCAGGCAGATCGCGAGAGGTCAGGAGTAATCCCAGCACTTTGGGAGGCCGAGACAGGCGGATCACGAGGTCAGGAGATCAAGACCATCCTGGCTAACATGGTAAAAACCCGTCTCCAGTAAAAATACAAAAAATTAGCTGGGCATGATGGCACACGTCCGTAGTCCCAGCTACTCAGGAGGCTGAGGCAGGAGAATCTCTTGAACCCGGGAAGTGGAGGTTACAGTGAGCCGAGATTGCGCCACTGCACTCCAGCCTGGGTGACAGAGCGAGACTCCATCTCAAAAAAGAAAGAAAGTGAGAGAGAGAGAGAGAGAGAGAAAGAAAGAAAGGAAAGAAGTGTTAGCTGCTCCCTTATGCATGACACGTGACGGTGAATTTTGGCTTGAATTTTTCCTAAGAAACATAGTTTCCCTTGGCCCATTATTTGCCATTGTCATTTAAACATATTATAATGCCATTGTCATTCTACTTTACTCCCTTACTTAATTTTCACCCAAGAAGAAAGAGAGGCTTTTATTAAAAAGTAGAAATTTTTCAAGTATTTATTTTTGACATGTCCAAATATCTGTAAAGAGCTATAGGTATCACCTCGGAGGTTAAGAATGTATTCATCTTAGGCCAGGGGCGGTGGCTTATGCCGCTCATATGACTACCATTTATACACACGTGGTTGGGTTAATTTACGATATGGCTGAATAAAGCAACCACTTCTTACCGTTTATGTGATTCTTATTAACTGCTTACTGAGACATTCTTTTCCATACCTTTTGCCCATGTACTGAAACACATTTTTTTAAATCCTGCATTTTTTTTTTCTTGTATCTGATCTTGAGGGGAACTACTGCAGGAAGCTTTCTTTTGTTTATTATCCAGAGAATTTAGAACTCGGATTGCCCTAAGTACAAAACCTTAAAAATTCTTATTTCTCCTTTTACATAAATGATCTTTTTAATAATATGTATGTACTTCAAAGAATTTCTCAGAGCAGGAATCTAAGTGAGAGTCCACCAAACAGGTATTATACTGTGACCTACTTTTGTGATCCAGATGGGAAGATCTGACCTGTGACCTAGAGAGACAGCAACTTGACCTATAGGATTTGTGTCTTTTTGAAAGTGAGAAAAGGGTACAGCAGAGGAGTCACTAGGTTAACCTGTTATGATGGATAGATCATGTGGGGAGAGTGATAGAGGCTGCCTTTCCAGGGCTTTCAGTTTCCACATAGTAACTAGTACAGTTACTTATTTGTTTCTTTAATTTGAAGCAAGAGTCTTGCTCTGTTGCCCAGCCTGCAGTGCAGTGGTGTGGTCTTGGCTCACTACAACCTCTGCCTCCCAGGTCCAAGCAATTCTCGTGTCTCACCCTCCCAAGTAGCTGGGATTACAGGTAGGCACCACCATGCCTGGCTAATTTTTGTATTTTTAGTAGAGACGGGGTTTCACCATGTTGGCCAGACTGGTCTCAAACTCCTGACCTCTGGTGATCTGCCTGCCTTAGCCTCCCAAAGTGCTAGGATTACAGGTGTGAGCCACTGTGCCCGGCCTCTAGTACAGATATTTTCTTGAAATTAATTGTTTGACCTCCCAGCCTATCCATACGAGTCAGGACTTTTTGGGTGAACTGAAATCCAAAAAGGAGAAATTGATAAATTTTTATAACTAGACCATGTACAATCCAGGTGCAGCTGGACTCAGGGTTTCCTGGAGCCAGCATGCTATCATATTCTAACTTTCCAGAACAGGGCTCAATTTCTATCTGAATTTTGCTAATTCTTTCAGATTCTTTCATACCATGAAGTAAAACATCTTTCATTCTGAAATTGATGATAAAGGAAATACCTTTGATTTCAAACTGTAAGAATGTGACTTCCTAGCTCCTTCACTTCCAATTTCAAAACCTTTGGTTAGGATCACCCTTGGGCACACACACGCACTTTTGGGTGCTGTGGCTGGTAGCCTCTTCAGAACCACATGGAATAAGGGAAGAAAGTTTCACTAAGTAAGGGGAAGTGCTCTTACTAGGGGAAAGGTGTCAGGGATCCTGGGTGAGTAAAACACCAAGTATCTGCACTGTTGCCCTTGTTGTCTTTTTAAAAATATAATCCCTGGTCAGGTGCCATGGCTCATGCCTGTAATCCCAGCACCTTGGGAGGCCAAGGTGGGAGGATCACTTGAGGCCAGGAGGTCAAGACCAGTCTGAGCAACATAATGAGACCCCAGCTCTACCAAAAAAAAAAAAAAAAAATTAAAAAATTAGCCAGGCATGGTTGTGCATGCCTGTAGTCCTAGCTATTTGGGAGGCTACATGGTGGTGCGCGCCTGGGTCCTGGCTACTTGGGAGGCTACGTGGTGGTGCGTGCCTGGGTCCTGGCTATTTGGGAGGCTACATGGTGGTGCATGCCTGAGTCCTGGTTATTTGGGAGGCTACGTGGTGGTGCGTGCCTGAGTCCTGGCTATTTGGGAAGCTACGTGGTGGTGCGTGCCTGAGTCCTGGCTATTTGGGAGGCTACGTGGTGGTGCGTGCCTGAGTCCTGGCTATTTGGGAGGCTACGTGGTGGTGCGTGCCTGTAGTCCTGGCTACTTGGGAAGACTGCTTGAGCCTGGGAGTTTAAGGCTACAGTGAGCTTTGATTGCCATCGCACTCCAGCCTGGGCGACAGAGCGAGACTCTGTCCCCCCTCCCCCCCCCAAAAAAAAAATAATAAATAAAAATGCAAGTCCTGATTTTTCCTCTAAGAAATGGTTTCAAGTGGAGAGAGGGGAGTGAAGTGCACATTTTTGTCCATGTATGTTGGAAAATGATATTCTCCATTGTCAACATGTGATAAGTCCAAAGAGGCATCATCAGTTCTTCACAACAACAGGGTCTCTTTGTTGTTTTACTTAGAAAACTCTTAGAATATAAAAAGAAAGAAGCACAGCTAAATCTCTAGCATGCACATGTATTGTGCTTGGTTTCTGCATAGTGCTGTTCCAGCTGTGGCCCATGATGGCTGCTTGTTAGTGTCTATGGCAAGATAAGTACCGGAATCTACAGAAGTATTTGGCAAATTTTATATCAATTTTAAATTGTCACAATTTTCAAGCGCATGATCAATGAGCTTTTTTTGGGGGAGTATCTTTTAAATTTTTTTCTAGTAATTCATTTTTATTGTGTTTTAAAAAACTATTTGCAAAAGATTAGAAATTAAAACAAATATGCTGATCATTTACCACAAGAAGCTTGAGATGCTATGCTTCTCACTGCTTCCAGCAAGCCTAAGAAAAAACAGTCCTTTATAGATGAGGAAGCCGAGCCTCCGAAGGGGAAGCTTGAGGTTGGGCATCCAGGAGGGAGGAGAGTAGGCAGGGGATGAAGGGCAAAAGCTTGTTTCAAACTGAGATAGAAACACTTTTGGTGTTGTAAAATCTCAGCACCCAGACCAGGAAGCAGGTCTCTTTCATCTCTGTGCCCCCAGCACCAAGTCAGGCACTGGGTGTTTAGCAGATTTTCTATAAACATTGAGTAAAGTTCCCTTTGCTCTTTATTATTGGGAAAATTAAAACAAAAAGTTGGGGGGAACTCATCTTAAGATAACAACAAGCTTAGGTCAAAAAGCCAAACTCATTATCTGTTTATTTGAAGAGGATATTATAACATTGATGTATATTCTTGCTATTTTACAGTGAACTTTATCTTTTTTTTCCTCCTGAGTTTTATTCAAGAATTTTTAGCCTAAAGTTTCCATTTCAAAGTTAAGCTCATTTTTTTCTTGTACTCCTTTCATGAATAAATTAAGCAGAGAATGTGTCAAAAATAATTTTAAATGGATATATGTGCAACCAACATCTTCAAGGCTTGAAATAGATGGCCTTGGTGCTGTTTTAAATTGCGTCCTCTTTTCCTTCCCCCACCCAGTATCAGAGAAAACAGGCTGTCAGAAAGCCAGAAAAGAAAAGGCATTTCATTTTGCTCTGGTGGACACCACACTGCCTGAGCCTGCTCTGCTCCACCTGTTTGAAGGGCTAAGAACCCTGGTCTCAGTGTGGCCCGGGGCGGGAGAGGTTCGAAAGTCAGGCAGTGCCAGGAAATGTGTGTTTGCAGGTTCTGCTTAACGTTCCCTGGCTCGCTCCTCTCAGTTCTGTGAAGCCCAAATGTGAATGCAATGAAAATCTCCACTGGGGATGCACTCATCTCCCCTGCCACATAGGCCCACAGCCTGGAGCATGGTGGCAGCGGCAGCCAACTCATTTCCTGAAGAAGCCCAGAGGAAACCGAGAATGTATTGCCCACACCACTTGCCTGACTCAACAACAATGAGCATCAGGTTCAATGAAAATAGGAAAGAAAAAGCAAAAACATAGAATTGTTCTCATAGTAGCCCTAAGCCAGAGTATGTCTCTAAAAGAAAGTTCTGCTCTCCAATATTATTTTTAAAGTAAAAGGAATATAACAAAAGCCCATCACCTTGATGTTTAATTTCTTCCGGTAAATTTCTAAAATTAATTCACATTCTTTTATATATATTTTTAGAGGCACAGTCTCGCTGTATTGCCCAGCCTGGCTTCAAACTCCTGGGCTCAAGCGGAACTCCCTCCTGAGCCTTTCAAGTAGCTGGGATGACATGTGCGTGCCACTGTGCCCGCCTTTGATATTTAGTTTCTTCTTAAACACCTCCTCCTAGTGAATGTGTTCTTTACATCAGTTGTTAGGCATTACTGCCTTGTTATTTAATGTTTCCGTGATACCCACAAAGTACATCGTGATTTGTTGATTGATAAATCTTGGAATTAAAGCTCATTTTAAGGATCCTGAGCAAGTAAGAGGCTTAGGGAATATTCAGTCTCCTCAGTGCCCTCTCCCAAGCCATGTCTCATGGGAGACCAGGGCCCACTTCAAGTAAACACATTTTTATTATGCTGCAACTCTGTTAGAGCCACCAAGCAAAGGATGCAGTCAGTCTCGGGAGATGAGAGTAGGCACCAAACAGGTCAGAAAATGTTTGGAAGCAGCTTGCCATCTAGCTGAGCTAAGAGTGTGCTCCACCTTGGCTCTGTGTGGCCTCTCCCCAGCAGGCAGGGTCACCTGTGATAGGGCTGAGCATCTCCTGCCTTGACCAAGCCATGGAGGGTAGAGAGAGAGAGCCACAGGCTGCTTGGTTTTCAGAATATCAAAGGGATTCCTTCCCCAGGGTGGGCACCAGTGAATAAGCAGGGCATCCCTTTGACACCTTTCCTGTATCTAACTTCAAGAAGCCTATTCCTGACCAGGAGATTTACCAAAAGAATGAACCCAGTGTTGAGGAAATAACCATTAGAACCATATGAACAAAAGAGGTAAACAAAATAAAGAGCAAGTCACTATTGGAATGTGTGCAGGAGGTGGGGGTGGTAGGCGGTCAAGGTGAAGCATTCAGAGTGGGTTTGGGCAGTGGTTTGGGCAGTGTTCCGGATTTGCCCTTTGCCCAGTAGCTCATCTGAAGTGTGGCTCACCAGGCCTTTGCCTGGTAGCTCATCTGAAGTGTGGCTCACCAGGCTGGACGTTGCTTGAGCTTGACAGTCGTCCTAGTTCTATTTCTGATTATTTTTTGTCACCTTGGGGAAAATCCCCTATTGTACTTGATTTCCTACAGACCTTAACTGTGATTTTATGAGGATATATATGAGTATGCAAAATCATTTTAACTCATTCAGCGTTTTGTAAATCTGAGGCTTATCTATTCAGGTACTCCAATGATTTTAATATGAGTTCAGGTAAAATAAATTAATGAGTAGTCAGTGTATTGATCCGTCTAGAAAACTTTAGAGCAATTAAGGGCATGACCACCTGACTGAAGCTCTTTATGGCAAGGCTATTTGGGGCACAGAGTAATATATTGTTCTTTCTACATCTTAAATGATCCTCTTTGTCTTTAGAAGGCAAACTATCTTGCCATTCCTGATATCAACTCTTTGTCAAAACAATATCTAATGGAAGCAGCTCTGTGCCCTAGGGGCTCTGTAAGTTCTGCTTTGTTACAGTGATGGCAGTTCTCTATTCTTAGCCTATTTCCGAAGTCAGGCATTTGTTCGGAATCATTCACTATTGAATTAGTTAACAACGTTTGGTTTGAGGAAAGATGATAATGATATTAAGGAATAATAAAATCCATCTACAGTGAAAATCGAGCCCAGATCAGAACTGTGGAGGAACCCAAATTCAGATCCTACACTCAAACTGATTTGCACAAAGAATTATCTGTTAAAAGTGGGAAAAAGAATGGCAGCATGCGACAACTCACGTAACTAATCAACTTTTTAGATGCCGTTTCATATGTTTGCTTTTCATTAAATGCAGGAATGGTTGGGACTATGTTGCTGTGATTCAGTCAACATTTATTCCTATCTGTTTTTCATGTACAAAGGCTGAGGGATGCCAGCAAATAAACTGTTAACGGAGAATTAACTTCTTTGGCATGCTTTCATACTTATCTTCCAAATTAAAGAAAATGAAATGGGCAGAAACAGAGTGTAGATTACCTCCTTTTTGTCAAAAATGGTGGGAATTTGAAAATTAATAATAAAAAAGGGAACAGATGCAGTAACATGCCAGAGGGAGATTAATGTGGAGAGTAAAATCTGTGAGCAACAAAACTGAAGCAAACTGAATCAGTGGGAGGTGGTTGTACAATCAAAATCAGGATAAAAGAGAAATTACAAACAACCCTGCACTTGTCAAAGTAGTAGTAATGAAATCCTGACTCTGCCAGCAGTGAGAACCTGTGTTAGCACTTTGGGGTAAGGATGGTAGCCGGGTGCCAGGTAGGAGGGCAGTGTTAGGTTGCTGGGCAGCAGCCATCTTGTGTAGAACAGATGGCACCGAAAGCTGGCAGGGGAGGGGCTCCTTAGCAGAACTAATCAGACAGTAACAGATAGGGCAGCTGGGAAGACTGACCACAGAGAGGGAGTCTGCGGGGTAGCCGAGTGCCATGATGTTTGCAGTGGTGTGCCCATTGGTCTGAGATAAGACCTTGCAATGTCTTTCCCATCTACAGAAGAACTGAAACTTTGTTCAAAAAGGAAAATTGAGTTGAATTGTGTCAAACTTGGAGGGTGGGGGTGGGCATTGGGATAGTGACTGAGAAAGGAAGAATTGTCCATCTCTGAATTTGTCCTGTGAGTTTTCAGTTCCAGCTACCATGGAACCTTGATTTTTGCTGTTTGTATGGTTCTGGCAATCTAATGTATACAGTGTGGCACATGGAATGATCACTTTATACATTTTATGCATCAAAAAGTTTGCAGTATCAAGGCTATAGTTAAAATTAGAAAAGATTTTTTTTATATGCTTTCTACCACATATGTCTTTCACAAAATGAAAAACTAAAAGCAACCATGTGATACAGGCATTTCTACTTAATAATTTTTCATAAGCTCATTTAAGCTGTGTTTGATTCAGAGTCACTTGCCCTTCTTTTTTCCCCCATGTAACTGTGGGTTGAACATCAAAATATAAGCATAATTCAGAGCCAAAAACCTTAAGACAAAAATCAAACCAACTCATTCTGCAAATAAAAGAGAAAACTGACCTGTTAAAATTTGATAACTTATTAAGTAGTCGTGGTTCTTGAAGTATAGAGTTGGGACGTTTGTATTAAAACGACGACTTTAACAAAGAAATCCAGATCTCCTACATCTGCTTTTGAACTTGTCTATTTCTTTTTTTTGCAGAAGGTTTATAACTTGGCTCAATTTATTCATTTTGGAGGGGGAGGGGGAAACATTACAGGATTTGAAATAGGTGGTATAACATAGCCATATGCTATTTATGCAGCAGTTTCTGCAATAAATCTAATTTGGTGCTGTCAAAAAATTAGACTTATTTGATATAGCAGCACATTAGTAAATGATTGTGGCAGATTTAAAGTTGTCATTTAGTCTCTTCTTACTCTTAACAGAATCTCGCAAATTCATTTTCCCCCTTGATCAACTCTATGAAAATATCCCAGTTCTTTGTCCTGCAGCCCTGAAAATATTTCCACATCTGAAAGAAGGTCTTGCCTTAAGGTAATTGAGGAAGGGGGTGGAAAAATGAATATCCTCTGTCGTTAAAAGACTTCATAAATATATAGGCAGAAAAACAAATAAACCAGAGAAAATTACAGTATTTTCATCATTTACAGTTCTTAGAAAAACAGAACTGCAAGTCTCATTCAGAATGTAGATAAATTAAGGTCAGTTCTTTATTAAGGAGTTTAAATATTTTACCTTCCATCCTACGTCCATATGCTGTTTTAGGAAAACTGATTATTAAAGAATGTGAGTGACATCAGCTCTTCGCCTTCACCTAGCAGCGCCCTTAGAAACGGCTTTACTCTTCGGTAGTGTAACCTGGCAACATTGCTTCAATGCCTCTTTTTCTGTTTTTTTTTTTTCCCCTGTAAAATTTGTGTTTCAGGTGTTAGTATCAAACTATCTAAACTTTTTCCTAGTTTTTCTGTTTGAAAGATAAGATAAGCAATGACGCATTAAGCAGGTAAATATTAACGGTGTTCTCTGAGTTCCTGAATTAGTCCATTTATAAAAGTAATGATTTCGTTTCCCGTTTCTTTTTCTTGCGTGTTTATGGAAAAGTGTATGTGTGTATCGCATTTACGTGTCTGTGTGTGACTGGAAGTGATGTTAAAACTGAGTGCTTTTCATTTGTTTATGTTCGTATCATACAAATTATCCAAAAGAAGGCTACTAGTGTGTTTTTGAAACGCAGTTTACTCAGAGTGAAGAGTTCCTTCACGGTGATTTAAGCAGCCTCTATTAAACTAGCATCTTGCAAATGCTTCTTTCTTTTATACAGCAAATCAGACCATGGAAGTGATCAAATTACCAGGATTGTTTCACTGCTATTCAGAAGCAGGGATCCAGGTGACCAAAGTACTGTCAAGCACAGATTACACTAAAGGAAAAATATCCAGAAAAGCAGTAACAAACTTGCTGGGAAAACTTAATCAATATTTTTGAAATTTCCTCCACATGAAGAGAAATTATTTAGAAAGGATGTTTTAGGAAGATGAAGAAGAAAACACCTCCTAGAATTCATATTTTGAGTAGAAAATCCATACATTAAATTACATTATATATTACATGAGAATGATTTATATGACACTGGGTATTTTGAAGGTCAGCAATAAAATTGAAATTATAGCTAAGAAGCATGTCTCAGTACTTAGATTTTAACCTATCTTTTTGATTTTGTTTCTGTTTTTAATTTAGCCTCACAATTTTTAAAAATATGTCTGAAAAACTGCTTTGATAAAATCCTTTTCATAAATTATAACTGTTTAATCAGTCAGAACTTTAAGATTTAAATTTTAAATTCCACGTTTTCTCCACTGCTTTTGTTAATAAATTTGACATTCAATTTTATATCAATAAGAAATATTTAATTTTTATTTTTTCTAAAAATTTAGAAAATTTTACAGACTTGATTGATTTTACTTGATACAAGCATCTGCCATAAGATTAAATTTTGGGATAATCCTTCAAAATATAAAAGCAGCCTTATGAATGAAGTGCCATTTAGGTTCACGTTTAAGTTCACATTTGTAACAGTGTTACTTTTTTGCCATATATTTTCTCCTAAAAAATGATCTTCCATTTTCTTATAAGAAATTTGAATTGAGTCATTGGTTTGCCCTTTTCCTAAAGAATATGATATCTAAAATACCAGTAAATAATTCAACATAGAGTGATTTCATGTCTGATTTATGAAGGGAGAGTAAATACTTGATAGCTATAGATGCCACAAAATAAATTCAATTGAGAGTATAATTTTCACCTAATTTCTATGAGTTTATTTTTTTCACAGAACTAGACTATTGATACAACTTACATTTCTTTAGATAGATTATGTGTTTGCTTGGCAGCATATATTTGAACATTAGTGAAACAGAACTTTGTTTTTTAAATGATGGAATTTATAATATACATGCATTGATTTGTATATTATGGGTTAAGTTTTTCAAAGCAGTAATGGAGCTGTGTGTTAATATATAGCTTATAATTGAAATGGTACATATTTGTACATTTTAAGCCTTTCAGTGTAAAATTTCTTAATTGGAATACTCTCTCCCTTGGCTAATTCATTAGTGAAAATATTTATTCCTCAAGTTAATGCTATATAGTATGATGCAATTTTTATATAGTGTAAACTTGTTTATGATATTTTGATTTCACTTTAAAACTTTTATTTTGCTTCTTAGACATATAGTTCATACTCAGTATAATGAGAAGTGCAGACACACATGAAGAAAATACATATCAGCTGTCTGGTTTTACAAATGATCATTAAAACACCATGTCTTACTACTTTGACTCCAAATTATTGTCTTCCTGAACCCAAAAGTAATTTTCACAAGTACATTACACAACAGAACTTCATCTTCTGCTGGTTAGCAGTAGAGGATTTAAATCCATGCCGACAGTTCATTTGACAATGACCTTGAGGGGCTTTGCTTCTTGAAGAAGAAAGCAGAAGCTTGCGGTAAACAAAGTTCACTTCTGACAGATGGATTGAATGACAGAAAGGTTGCGAGTGCCAGAATAGCCCTGGCAGAGGAGGAAATGTTCAGTGGAATCCAACAGGAGAGGAGGTGTGAACAGGTGCAGGGTTGCTGACGGAAGGGGAACCAGATGGAAGGAGCCAGAGCCAGTTTATTTAAAGGAAAAGGCAGAAAACATTGAAAGGCTGTGCGATCAGTGGCTAAAAGTGTTCATAGAGGAAGGTAAAAATTCACAAAGCAAAACTGCACAGTGGGGTAGCTAACACTTAGCATAATGGTAGTAATTTGTGAGTTTAGTTTGGAAGTTGCGATTGAAATACATTCATCTTGGCTCTTGACACCATCCAGTATAGATATTTGAAAGTTGTTTATTTTTTTAAGTTTCTAAGCTTTTTTAAATCCATCCATTAATTTAATTTTTTCCAGCCAGAAGCTCCATTATGATAATACTAAAATTATGTCGTCAGCTAGGAAAAGAAAAAAATTTAAAGTGAAGGTTAACGTTCCATTCAAATTTATCTTGTGATGCCTCAGTTTTGTTCACATATGGAAAGCAAATGCATGCACTGTTGGGTGACATCTGTAATATCTAAGAAATTTGCAATGTTAGAATAGATGCCGTTGGTTGCTTTTGTTGTTTTGGATCTCTGTTCATTTTGTGAAGTCCGGTTTGATTGTTTCAGTAGGAATAATGCTCTTTAAAATACACATTTGCTGGCCACAATCTGCAGGTTAATTTCTGCTGCTGAGGTTGACCTGATTTTCATTGACTTTCAGTGACCTGCCTTTGGGCAGACACCTGCAAACCCAAGTACAATTTACAAAAGGAACAGTACGCATACAGTGGAGCAAGAAATGAGGACTTTCTTGTTTTCTAAGACCTATTAAAATGTAACTTTCTCCACTGCAAACCAGAGATAGCCCTGCTAATACTCTGTGTGGTCAATTCATACATACCACTTATGTGGGCCCTTGTCTACCACAGTTTTCCTTGAAAATTTTACTACATTACATTTCTGACAAAGAGACGCCAATAGAGGAGGAGCTATTAAGAAGCTATCACCGGGAAAAATGATGACAATGCACAATTATTTTGAGGTTTTAAAGATCTCGTAAATAATCCACAAAAGTTTCTGCACACTGCTCACAGAGATTAAACACACAAAGTAAATGAGTACTGTATTGACATTCCTTTTCTCAGAACTGCCTGGATCAAATAGATTACGTTTGATTAAGGCTGGATGTTTTGAGTTTAGAGAGAATGTCTGTGATTCGTGGCATGCTTTTGTCAGTAAATATAAAGAATTGAAATCAGATTAACAGTTATAGAAGATGTTGATTTACTCCTGTGCTGTATATCAAGATCATCAATTTTGGTCTCTTTTTTTTTAATCTGGATGAGGCAATATACAACTATATTTTGAAGGAAAAATGGTTAGTGATTTCTTCTAGTAAAAGGAAGTTGATGACCTGTATTTTAAAGTCATCTGCAAAATGTACTTTTTTCTCCCACTTGTTAAGGAATTTTTATCTAATAACTTCTTATTAATCTAAAATTTTATATAAAATCGATTGGAGTATCCTTGCTTTGATTATAGTGTACTGATTTTGCCATCTCTTCCATCATAATTACCAAATTTATTTATATAATAATGCTACTAGCATGGTGCTGCTTTTTAAAATAATAACATAAAACTCACTTGAACTACGGGGTTCAAATTGAAAGACAGTAAAAAGAAACTGCAACAATCAGTGTCATCATTTGATAGTCATATCACAAATTAAATTGTAAACTTCTTATAGGTAGAACCAATAGCTTCCCAGAAATATGTAAATTTAGTTGTACCTAGTAAAGTGTCTTTTGTGATATGAGTCTTTAATTTTTTTGAATGAAGGGATAACAAGTTGATTGCTGCTAAGCAGGTATTCAGTCAACATTTATTGAGCACATGTTCTGTTCTAGCTGCACTAGGCACTATGTAAATTTTCAAAATAAAGAGCCCATGATCCTTTTCCACAAGTATCCTGCAACCTACCAGACAAGGTTTATGTAATTACATATACACATACGTGTGTGTGTAAAATCTAGAAAATAGTATATAAATTTATAAACTTTCTGTGACTCATGATCATCTTAAATGAATTGATGAAACTCTCATCTAGCTCAACACTTATAATGTGTGAGAATGTTGAGAGAAGCTAAGTGATTTTCCTAATACCAACGGTGGTTGAGTGACAGCAAAAAGTAGAGTCTAAGTTTCCTTTCTCTAAGTCTAGTGCTCTTCCTGCATCCCACATTATACTTCTTTGTTCTCATTGATGATATGACTTGTCTGAGAAACCCCATTAAAACCCTTCAGTGCAAGTCTTTCACAGCCTGTTTTGGAAAGGAAAAAAAAATTATTTTTGGATTTTGGCACACGGTTACTGGTTCTTGAAACAAACAAAACACAAAGGTTCTTTAGCTTGCAAACAGTAATTACGAAGTTCACTTCTTAGAACTTTTTTTAATTATTATTTATTTATTTATTTATTTATTGCTGGAGTCTCACTCTGTCGCCCAGGCTAGAGTGCAGTGGCGTGATCTCAGCTTACTGCAACCTCCGCCTCCCGGGTTCAAGTGATTCTCCTGCCTCAGCCTCCCGAGTAGCCAGGATTACAGGCGTGCACCATCACACTCGGCTAATTTTTGTAATTTTAGTAGAGACGAGATTTCACCATATTGGCCAGACTGATCTCAAGCTCCTGACTAGGCTCAAGCGATCACCTGCCTCGGCCTCCCAAAGTGCTGGGATTGCAGGCATGAGCCATGGCACTCAGCCCGTTTCTTGGAACTACCTCTGGGAGTGGTAGTAAAGATAACCTCCCGCATAAACGCTGCTTACCCTGTAATAGGCATATTCACTTAATCCCCACATAACCCTACCAGGTAGATTCTGCCATAAGCCCCATTTTACAGATAAGAAAACTGAGGTATTCAGAGGTTAGTACCTTGACCCAAGTCACAGCACTGCTAAGTGGTGGCGTAGGCACTGAAGCCTAGGCAGCTAGGCTCCCGACTACGATTTTATCCATTACACTATATTGCCTCTGATGGTGGATGTTGTGAAAAATAACTTCTGTCACCAGTTCCTTTTGGAAAGTTGTATTCAACAGGCTAAACCAGGTTTCTTGACAGTAGGGCTTCTCAGCGTTTTTAATATGTTAGTGCACACTGTGACTCTCTTAGAAAGGAATTTAGTTTTCAGTGTTTCCGAAATTTATATGACTTATGGAAGCTTTTCTATCAAATCTCCACACATCTTCCAGGAATCACGTTTTTAGGAATACACTTGGGGAAAAACTGAACTAAACTAATTTGTAGTAGGACTGCTGAAAACTATCATATGGGGATTATTCGTTATTGTATCTCATCAGTGCCTCTGCAACACCCTACTCCATCCCACCCTGCCCCGCAACTTCACTTTCATTAGAACACACACAGTTCATGGAAAGAGTAGATAGGTTGGTAACTTTCAATTTTCATTTAGTCATTTCTCTAAAATGGGGGTGTGGGGTGGGGAAGCATCTTTGACCAGACTTCAAGAGTAGCTGGACAGTTAGCTGTGCCAGAGTCACGTTCCAAGTTCTTCCATATCTTACTGTCCCAACTTTGCCTTTATGTGATAATTCTATTTATTTTAAATTATGTGTTTATTCTAGAAAACAAATTTGACAATTACATAACTAGATTGCCAGTCAGTTCATTGAAGTTAGACACCTTTTAAAGCATGACTCTGAATGAGATTTCATAGAATAAGATGTTATTGTGGATGCTCTCCTGTATAAACGTTTTAGGCAATCTCCTGCCAGGAATTATTGGCACAAATTTGAAGTATGGGCCACTAAGTCAGACTGCACTAGATTTTATTTTCCTTCAACCCATGATATGGCAATATTCCTCCCTTTTATGTGTATTCTTTCCTGTGTTAGGAAGAAATGGAGCAACTCATGGGCAATAAGCTCTGGAAGTCGGGAAGTTTAGCACTCATAATGTGCTAATTTTTCTGTAAATACACTTGGAGGTGCCTATAATTTATAATTATGTCAAGCAGTTTCTACTGGTGAGGTTTTCTATAAATAACCATCTTGTAATGATAACGACTGGAATTGTGATTCTCATGAAGACTTACTATGTGTGCTCCTAGCTTTCCCACCTGCCCTGCTTTCTGGGTTCTCAAATTACATTTCCTTCAATAAATCAACTCCAGCAATTTTTATTAAAGTTTGAAACCATTCACTGGCTTATTTGTATTCCTCAAGGTGCAGAAAATGTTTGGGAATAAGCGAAAACTACAAAGGCAACAGATTAAATCCCCAGGCAGTGGGATAGCTTACTAAACTGGCTGACACATTGATTGACAAGCTAATATGACTGCAAGGTCCTCTTGATGAACTTTGAAACTAGTCGTTTCTTACTAGAAACAAGTAATGAATGATATAAGGATGATTACTAGAGATTGAGTAAAGAAATCCATGTCTATTTGCCATTTAAAAATTATAGAAACACTATCCAATGATGAAGATTTTCCAATTTTATTTACATTCACTTATTAGGAAGGAGTCTGTGACCCAGGTACATAACTGAACATTTTAAAAATAATTTGCCAGCTTGGCTGTATGGATTAACTTTTTCATAATACTTTGTAATTTAATTTTAAATGTGAATATGTTTTTTGGGAGTTGCCTCAAACCAAATCTGATTTACAAAAAAAAAAAAATGAAGGGGATCATTTTGGTATACTATGGTGACTACTTCAGCTTCGGTTGTTCTTAGTGTTCTATCAGAATTCTTCTCCTTTGTTTCTCCTTTCAAATCATAGGTGAGTGGCTGAATTAAATGAGAAACTTATCAAGGTTAAAAAAGGTCATTTTAATAGTTTTTGAAAATTATGAGTTTTGATATCTTCATGAGGCACTTACGTTTAGTAGTTTTGGGCACCTGGTTATTTTTATTTGTGGAATCAGGATTTAAAATGCTGCTTTGCTATAGGGTGGTAGACAAAGGAGTGGCACTCAGACCAGTGCTGTCCAATAGAAATACAGAGGGAGCCACAAAATGTAAACCACACATGTCATTTAAAATTTTCAAATAACCACATTTTAAAAAGTAAAAGGAGGCTGGGCGCGGTAGCTCATGTCTGCAATCCCAACACTTTAGGAGGCCGAGGTGGGCAGATCATTTGAGGTCAGGAGTTTGAGACCAGCCTAGCCAACATCGGGAAACCTTGTCTCAACTAAAAATACAAAAAAATTAGCCAGGCATGATGGCGCACACCTGTAGTCACAGCTGCTCAGGAGGCTGAGACAGGATAATCGCTTGAACCCGGGAGGCGGAGGTTGCGGTGAGCTGGGCAACAAGCAAAACTCTGTCTCAATTAAAAAAAAAAAAAAAAAGCAAAAGGAAACAGGTGAAATTAGTTTTAATAACATAATTTATTTAACCCAATGTATAGAAAATAGTATTTCAACATGTGATTTATATAACACATTATTAATGACGTATTTTAAATTTTTTTCCTAAGTCTTCACACCCCTTTGTGTATTTTGCACTTACAGCATGTCTTGATCCAACCTAGCCATATTTCAAGTGCTTACTAACCCCACGTGGCCAGTGGCTGCCACTCCAGACGTCACAGCCCTAGACGTTTGTTACTCAGTTTTCCAGCTTTCCCACAATGCCCAGCAGAGATGAAGTTAGATTCTCATGAGCTTAAACCCTGAATTGTTTCTACAAAAATGGGAACCATTTTATTAAAACAAGAAAATCATGTCATCTTTTTCTTGAATTTTGGAGGCAGTAGCCAGGACTCATATTGATTAGTCTTTTTCTGAAGAATCGCCACTTTGAGGAGGAGGAGGAAGAGAGAGGAAGCTACCACTTACTGGCCATTACTTGAAGAGCAGATGAGTGATTAAATATACCAGCATCACATTATAATAAGTTCTTCTATATCTTACTCTCCCATCTTTGCCGTTATATGTTGAAGAGTTGTTGAAAATAAATTTGACAGTTAAATAACTAGATGCCGATCTGTTAACTGGATTTAGACAATTAGGAACCTTTCAAATGGTGATCTGGGCTGGACGTTGCCGGTTGCCTCATGTGGAGCTTCCCACATAATCCTGATAATATCATTTTATTAATGAGAAAACAGAGGCTTAGATTGAGATGAGGTTCCGCCTTGACGTGACACAGCTAGCACATGGTGGAGCCAGGGCTGAGGCCCAGCCCTGTGTGTGCAACGCTGGCCAATGCTACCTCCCCCTGTGTAGCTTATGTCAGGAAATTGAGGAAAATTTTTATTCTTTCCTCAAGGCTGTCTTTGAGATAATTATATTGATTGTTTCAGTTTGAGTAGTCATCTTCTAGGAAATAATAAGGATAACAATAGTAATAATACGTACTAATTAATATTTTTTAACTTACTATATGTCAGTGCTGTACTAACAGTATTTTATATGTAATATCCTCATAGTCCTATGAGGAGAGGTACTGTTATTAACCTTATTTTTCATTCAAGAAAACTGAGTCGTAGGTTATGTGACTTACTTAGAGCAGGAGTTCCCAACTCGGGGTCACCTGACCTCCATCTCCTGTCGGAGCAGCAGCATCATTGGATTCCCATGGGGCGCTAACCGTATTGTAAACTGCGCATGTGAGGGATCTAGGTTGTGCACTCCTTATGAGAATCTAATGCTTGATGATCTGTCACTGTCTCCCGTCACCCCCTGATGGAACTGTCTAGTTGCAGGAAAGCAGGCTCAAGGCTCCCACTGATTCTACATTATGGTGAGTGTTATAATTATTTCATTATATGTTACAGTGTAATAATAATAGAAATAAACTGCCCAATAAATGGAATGCAGTCGAATCATCCCCACACCCCCTACCCTGGTCCGTGGAAAAATTGTTTTCCATGAAACCAGTCATTGATGCCAAAAAGGCTGGGGACCACTGACTTAGGGCACACAGCTGCTAAGTGGAGGAATTGCAACTTTGATGCTAAGTCTAGCACACACCAAAGCCTGTTCTCTAAACTTCTGCCTCCTTGTGTACAGATGCCCTGCTGGCAGTGGAGCTTACATGCGAAGGGATAAAGGCTGAAAGTATCCTATTGTTTTTAGGGGTATTTTAGGATTTCAGTTGCTTATATTTATTTTCTCAGAGCACAAAGTCCTCAGTTTGGATATAGTCAGGGCAGGCTACCTTGTGGAAATTAGTTTGAAGATAGATTTAGAAGGCTGGAAGCAGCAGGTTTCCAGGAATGGAAAGGGCCGCTCTGTAGCTACAGGAATGGTGAGGACGAAGACTAAGAAATGGCTAGAGGAAGAGAAAGATCCAGCAGACACAGGTTATTGAAGCAGAGGAAATAATTAAGGATGTAGATAAGAATAGTTATAAGCAAGTATTACAAAGTCAAATAGAAATAATGTTAAATCATAAAATGACTAAAAGGCAAAATGTTTTGATGAAGAAAGTGACTTAATTATTGTATCAAGAAAAGAATTTTCTTATTTAGAGGAATGAGAATAGTGGAGTAGGAATCAGAAAACTTGGGCTCACGTCAGTTTTTTTCTTCTGTAGATGTAGTGCTTTTTACCTCCAGAATTGTGTGCAAAGACGGAGAGGTTACAGAGTTCTCAATCAAACTCTAAAAATGGACTACAGTGGTCTTGTTGCCAAGTCAAGGTTACTAGTCCATAGAATACAGCCGTAATTTCTGTATACATGCACATTGGATGTTTGACCAAAGGCACACCATCTCAGCAATAATGAAAATTCTACTATCTTTATTACAGAAGTTCCCCACTTACTCAAACTTAGACTTCTTCTTTTTTTTTTTTTTTTGGTTTTGAGATGGAGTCTTACCCTGTCGCCCAGGCTGGAGTGAAGTGGCATGATCTCGGCTCACCACAACCTCCGCCTCCCGGGCTCAAGCAATTCTCCTGTCTCAGCCTCCTGAGTAACTGGGATTACAGGCATGCACACCATGCCCAGCTAATTTTTGTATTTTTAGTAGAGACGGGATTTCACCATGTTGGCCAGGCTGGTCTGGAACTCCTGATCTCAGGTGATCTGCCTGCCTTGGCCTCCCAAAGTGTTGGGATTACAGGTGTGAGCCACCGTGCCTGTCCCAAACTTAGACTTCTTGCTAGTTTGAAATATAGCTGTAAATTGAGGTATAAATTAAAACGTACTTTTAAGAAGCAAGTAACTATCACAAAGCCCTTGCACTTTTCTGTGCAGCATCTGTGGAACTATCCTAACACACTTTTAGGTGTTAAAAAGCAAAAAGGAAAAAAATTAAAAACAAAATAAAAAAACATGGCAGCAAATCACAGCAAACCAACCAATAAAGAATTATAAGAAGACCAGTATGCTTTTGGTTCTTTAGAATAACATCTGAGACCTTCCTTGCAATAAATATTATTGAATGCCTTCTGTTTCTAGCCACTCTATTAAGCCCTTAAAGATCTGGCAATGAGCAACGATCCATAGGCACTTACTAGCAAAAGGAATAGCAACAGTAAGTATGCCTACCTTGTTTTAAATTATGAACCTTAATTATTAAGGAGAGCTTATTGTATTTGGTATAGTTTGCTTAAGAAAGCAGACATAATTAACACATTTTAGACATATTTCTATTGTAAATGGCGAGAATTCTGTGGATCTAATACCTGGAAAATTCTCGTATGTGGAACATATTCTCAACATTCTAGATAAATAATGCATGCATTACTCTGTCATACTTATGAGATAAAATATAATAAAAAATATATAAATTATAATTCTTACTATTATACATATTTCTGAATAAATTTTATAGCCACAAGGGAACCAACATGTTCCCCATTTAATATTATATCCTAGAAATTAATTCCTAAAACATTTTAATAATAGAATAATAGAATAGAATAGAATAGAAACTGTTATGCTACAATTTGCTAATAATGCATTTCCATTGACATGTTATAGAAACGCCACTAGAATGCATATTGATCCTACTGATACCTGATTTGAAGTTACTCATCAGAGGGATTAGTTACTGGGAATTTGTAGATCAAGTGATATTTTTCAGAGAAGAAAGCCAAGAATGCATAAAAGTCATTAGTTTATACAGACAAATTGAAATGGAAAATATGAATTTTTGAAAATATGAAGATACAAAGGCAAAATCATGATCGAATTTATTTTAGGTAATAGCATATTTGGCCTTATTATTTAGGGTGATGAATTGGGCTCAGGGTGTTGTATAATAGGATACAGTAGTGCTTTACTATCTCACAGGATCTTTGCCCCATGCAATCACTTAATGCATCAGGCACCCTGAGCTATTGAAAACATTTGAAGACTGAAAATTAATGAAGTGTGCATTGTCAAATGCACTGAGGCTGTTCAGTCTCAGTATCTACCTATGGTATCTACCGTATCTAAAGAAACCATTACAGAAATTGCTCTTACTATTGCTGTAGTAATAAGTGCTTTCCCTGATTCTAATGTTGTCCCTTCCCCATCTGTTCCCCACACTGCAGCCAGAGTGATCTTTCTAAAGCACGAGTGTGATCACAACACTCCGCTGCTTAAAACCCTACATTGGCTCCCTATTTCCCTCAGGACGAGGGCCTTAAAAATAGCTTCATGTTCTGGCTCCTGCCTACATCTCCAAGTCTCGTCTTTCTTCAATAATCTCCCCTCCACCAACTGTGCGCTGCTGCCCCACAACATATATCCTCCAGCATCCCGTCATGCCAAAACTGTTTGCAGTGTTCTCAGGGCACCTGGTTATCTCTCCACCCTGTGTCTTTGCACAAACTGTCCACTTCACTTGTAATAATCTTCTTTATATTCTTTGTATGGCAGATTACTACTCATATTTTAAGCTTCTGATTTTTTTTAAGCTTCCTGAAATCCTTCCTCCCTGTCCCCAGCTACTCCCCAATTCCTATCCTTTCCACCTGTATCATGGCAGGAATTTAGCCCTACTTTAATATTTACTGTACCATGAGTTGTTTTTTTCCCCAAAACTCGTTTATTTTGTTCACTAGACAATAGACTCTCTGAGGCCAGGGTCTACATCTTGCACACTGATGCATCCCCATACTTTTGTGCTTGGCACAAAGTAGTTGCTTAAGTATTTGTTGAATGGATGCGCAATCCACTGTTTGATTAAACAAACCCATCATGTGAGGCAGTGCCATGGAATGGAAAGAACACTGGACTTGGAGTGAGAAGACAGATTTGGATTCCAGCTTTGCTACTTACTAGCTGCATGGCTTTGAGAAAAATCTCTTAATTCCCGAGTTTGAGACACTTTATCTATCAAACAGGAATATCTGTTCCATCTCTCTGCCCCACAGAGATGTTATGAAGAATAGAGAGGTCGGTGCATTTGAATGTGCCTTTTAAAATAGAAAGTACAGACATGCAAAGGGTGATGCGCTAGTAACTGGAGTTGATAGAGTCTGTGGTTTTGTTTTAAAAGTAGATGGGAATTGTGCATATGTAATAGAAACAGGCAATAGCTAGTCTACTGTATTGTCTTTTGCCTTGAAGGTAAGTTTTCAAATTATTTTGGAGATACTGTAAGAACATTTTTGGAGGGAAAATTATTTTTAGAGATGTTTCTGTTAAATATTTCCTTTCTTTTGTGTATATTCCCTTGAAAGAAGTTGACCTCCTTTCTGTTTCTGCTTTCTTCCCTAGAAGTGACTCATTCTCTGATCTGATAACTCATCTTTCAACATTGTGCTTGAAGTTCTGACATACTTTGCAATGAAGAAAATAGAAGTAATTTACTCCAGGAAATATGCCATTAAGTCTTTTGCATACTTAAGGAAGTAGAGATTCCAGAATCTCATTCCTGTGTTTTCCTTTCTGTTTCTTCTCAGTAGTTCCACATTTGCTCAAATAAGGGAATACAGCCCCTGTTAGCTGTAAATAAGCATAGAATTTTGGGTTCTTCTGAAACATGGAAGACATCATGCTGTCTACCAATTTTATTATTGTTTTTGTTTTGTTTTATTTTCAATAATAATAATAAATTCTTGCAAAAATAGAGATTATCTTATCATATTCTCTGACTGTAGTCAGTAGACAGGATGATACTTACACCTGTGAGGATACTTAGTACTTTCCGTCTTTTAGTAGTTGATCATTCATTCATTCGTTTATTCATTCATGAAATGTTCATTGACCACACAACTGTGTACCAGGCACTATTCCAGATTTTCGGGATAAATTAGTGAGCAAAACAAAGGTTCCTATTCTCCATGGATTTAGATTCCAGATTGATGCACATGTCTTATCTTTTCTAGAGTCTGTGGCCACTTGAGGCAGGAGATGTGTTTGTGGTACCTTTCAATGTTTTTGCAAAGGTGAATATATGTCTTCGAGAAGGACACAACTAATTGATGGTGTCATTGTAGGAGAAAGTAATCCAATAGCTTAGGGGACAACAGGGAAAGAAGAAGGAGAACTAGCTTGGGATTTGGCTGTCAAGATGGATAATATGGCTATTAAATGGCACACTCCCATATAGATAATTGAAATAGACACTTGTTATCCTTTCAACCTTCTCTCATTTCTCTACATCCCTGATAAAAGAAGAGACTGAAGCATAGTGATTCACTGTGGACTTTAGAGTCAGATAGCCCTGGATTTCCTGGCTGTAACCTTTAATAACTAAAGAACTTGGACATACTGTATAACCTCTCTAGGCTCCCATTTTCTTATCTATAAAGTGAAGATACTAAGAGAACCTACTTTATATGGTTGGTATGAGGATTAAATAAAAGAATGCATGTAAAGACCTTAGCTTATGTGTAAACATTAGTAATTAGTAGCTTCTTAAAAGGATTAGTCCTTTAAGGTTGGATTTTCTTTTTGTTCTGCTTGAATGAAGAACCCCAGTATTAAAGGAAGAAAGTTATTAGTCTATAGTCACACAGGTGATAAGGTGGTAGATGCCATACTCTGACCCTCTAGCTCTGTGAGTTTGGCTGTACTCCATTGCCTCTCAAGGTGTCATCTTCCCAGAGCACAAAGAGAATAAACTCAAAAAGTACCTATACATTTGTTTAAAAAACAAGGCAAAACAAAACAAAACTATAAGCAAATATTGAAATCTAGTTACTAGTAGATTTGCTTTCCATAGATTATTAATTTTGAAACTACTTTCTGTGTATTCCAAGTTTGAACAAACAAGTATGTTGAGGATAATAGGAACCAAGTTTCTTACTATTGAGGAAAAAATTACAATTATGGAAAAAAGGGAGACAAGGTTCTATGTATGTTGTTGGATTGTAATTGGAAAGACCAGTATGAATGTGTATGCATATATTCATATAGGATACAGACAAATATTTATATTTATATTCACATTTATACACTTACATGTATATTCATATCCAGACTTAGTCCACCAAGGTGACCTAGAAGCAATGATTTTGCAGTAGCAGTGAGCACCACCTAGTGACAGATCCTGATTTCTAAATACCATTCTCCATTAAAGGCACAAAAACAGCTCCTTGGTCAAATGCTGATTCCAAGACTGGTACAAGGACATTACAAGATGAGCCTGCAACATTTTGTGGAGATAGAAAGCCACGTGAACAATAGAGACATGTCACGTAGGAACCACCTTGAAAGGGTTCCCCCTGGCCAAATCCAGGATAAATTGAGCATAAAAATAATAATCATAATGGATTATAACCCACTGAATAAGATATGAATCCATGACTCCATGCTGATATTAATGAATTAATAAATGAGAGAGAAGGGAAAGCTCTTTCTTATAATACAATGTTAACTAAAAAATAGAGAAAGAATAATGGAGTAAAAAAGTCATTTTTGGATGTAAAACTATTAGATGAGAGCTCGATGAAGAATAGGATGTTTGCATAGTCTAGGCATCTCCCAACAAATTACCTCTTACTTATTAGGTTGGAGCAAAAGTATTGTGATTTTTGCCATTAAAAGTAATTACTTTTGTGCCAACCTGATACAGAGAGGAAAGGAGTAACTTTACAGTAGAGAGGCCTGGGACAGCTCACCTAACTGCTGTTTTGCTGAGTCTGACTTGTACCAGCCCATGAGAGCCAATTATGTGTATTTCTTCCCAACTTGGTATTCAGTGATGTCACTTTGGTAGCTGAAAATAGAGCATGGTGGAAGTGTCTACACTGAAAATTGGTGAATACTACCAAAGAGGGATTTCCTGTCCCCTGGAGCCCTGTTGTTAAATATCGTCTGGCACACCAATGATGTTAATCAAGCTATCAAAGCTAATAGCACCAATATTGGGACAGGTGTACATTTTCTGTCTAAACTCACATCGGTACCCAGCACCTCCCTGCCCCTTCTGTCTGTATTCCTTAATGATTTTCAGCCAGTAAGCATGTTATAAATTCTCACAAGTTTTTTCATACCAATATGCTACTATCACAAAGCTCACAAAATTTTATCTTAAAAGGGAAACACCTTTTAGCCAAAAGAGTTGTATGTCTCACATTGGAACTTCAGACATCAGTAAAAAGGTGAGTAGGAACATGGAAGGTGGGATTGGTGCTTCAACCCCACAACTACCAGGTCCTTGTTCCAGACTTGAGCCTTTCATTTTTTCTGTCCCAGGGTCATTGTTGAGCTAAATTTAACATCATTAGAAAATGTACTTTAAAAAATCTGCTTAACAAATCATTTTTGCTCTGTGACATGAACATTTTTTAAATTGCAAGATTTAAAATAATAAACGATATGAAAAAGTTGAGTATCAAAAATATAAGCTTAATGCTTCAGTGCCGTTTCTAAAAAGTGGGATGGTAAATATCATTGTGACCATTTTTAGAAAATGCAATCAACCAGAACTATAATTGGTAAAAAGGAATGACTATGCTTCCATGTATATGTAATCTGTGTTTGAGGCCTAGCCAGTACTTGTTCACTCCTTTAATTCTGAATTTTTATGAAGAAAACATTGACATGGCCTACATACGCCTGGATTACAGGTGATGTGAATAACTTGGAGAATAAAGGTGGATGTTCCTATTCTAGACCATTTGCTCCTCCTTTAATTTATTTATTTTTATTTATTTTTTTATTTTTTGAGACAGGGTCTCACTCTGTCGCCCAGGCTGGAGTGCAGTGGTGTAGTTATGGCTCACTGTAGCCTCAACCTCCCTGGGCTCAAGTGATCCTTCTGTATCAGCTCCTTGAGTAGCTGGCACTACAGGCACACACCACCGCATCTGGCTAATTTTTGTAGTTTTTTTTGTAGAGATGGATTGCACCAGGTTGCCCAGGCTGGTCTCGAACTCCTGGGCTCAAGTGATCTACCTGCCTTAGCTTCCCAAAGTGCTGGGATTACAGGTGTAAGCCACTGATTTGCTCCTTTTAAAGATCAGCTTTATTGGGGTAAATTTAAATATAATAAAATATCACCAATTTCTAACTGTGCAGGTAAATATGGTTTGACAAATATATAGAATTGTGGAAAGATCATAGTCATAACATAGAAGAACATTTATATCCACCCAAAACATGTCCTTGTGCCCTTTTGCTCCCTGGTACCCCTCTCCTACTTCCAAATCCTGGCAACGCGGATCTACTTTCTGTCCCTTAGTGTTTACTTTTCTTGAATGGCCTGTGAATGACATCATAATATATGTCTTTGGTGTCTGGCTTTTTAAACTACGTGTACTGCTTTTGAGGTTCAGCCAAGTGCTGTATGTGGCATTGTTCCTTGTTATTTCTACCCTTCCTAGCCATGGTTAGACTATACCACAGTTTATCCATTGAACAGTTGATGCACGTTTAAGTTGTTTCCCGTTTTGAGTGATTGTGAATAAATCTTTCAGCCCCATAACTACCAAGAAATTCTTTTTTACTCAGTGTTTTGAGTGGGAATTAAAGCAAACCAATTGGAGAGACTGGCTTGACCATCCTTCACCAGGCTCTCACACCCAGCTGGATTTGACTCTCATTTTGTTATGCTTTGGTAAATTTTCCCCTTATACCTTTCTTACGAAGTATTTTGCCATCTACTTTCTGTTTGGCCATTTTGAACTCCCTGCTAGGGGCAAGGAGCATGTCTTATCTATCTTTATTTGACCCAGTGCCTAGCAGAGTGCCTTTCACATAAGAGAGTTATGATAAATACTTAATGCATTGATTTACATTCTTCTCTAGTTGCTCCTTGAATGCCTACGTGCTTTTTATAATTTTTTCAATCCATTATCGTATTACCTCTAGAGCAGTGTGTCTGATCTTTTGGCTTCCCTGGGCCACACTGGAAGAAGAATTGTGGGCCACACATAAAAGACATTAATATTAATGATAGCTGATGAGCTAAAAAGGAAAAAACAAAAAGGCCCGTGCATAAATCTCATAATGTTTTAAGGAAGTTTATGAATTTGTGTTGGGCCGCATTCAAAACCATCCAGGCCGCAAGCAGAGTAAGCTGTCCAACTGGCGGCCCAGGACAGCTTTGAATGCAGCCCGATACAAACTGGTAAACTTTCTTAAAACATTATGAGATTTTTTTTGTGTGATTTTCTTTTCTTTTCTTTTCCTTTTTTTTTTCCCAGCTCATCAGCAATCATTAGTATTAGTTTTAGTGTATTTTATGTGTGGACCAAGACGATTCTCCCAGTGTGACCCAGGGAAGCCAAAAGATTGCATACCCCTGCTCTAGAGTATTATAAAATAGGATTCCCCAAATAAAAACATTTTAATCCTACCTCTGCCTTTAAATCATTCACTATGCAACCTATAAGCAGACTTCAAATTCTTTGTGACCCTTGGGGATTTTTAAGTAGGTTTTTTTTTTCCAACTGTAAAGTGAGAGGGTTTGATGAAACACATTTGAGGTTCCCTTTTAGTTCTAACATTCTGGGAATTTATAAAAAGCCTACCAAGTCAGAACCTGCAAGAGAGGAGAGAAGGCAACATAGGAAAGTGGAAGGGGAAAGGAGGTTGGAAAGCAAGACTATGTCATGTTTCTAGGCAATGAAACATAATGTATAGTTTCCCAAATAGAGGGAAATTTGGGGAAGGATTCGAGAAACATCAGTTGATGTGTAACTCAACATTTGTTGGTAGAAGTCTTTTAAATTGTTTTATTTTATAAAAAGGACTTCAATTATGACAGTAGTTCTTTTCTATAGTCAATTTATTTTTTATTTTTATTTATCTATTTTGAGACAGAATCTCACTCTATCACTCAGGCTGGAGTTCAGTGGCACAATCTCTGCTCGCTGCATCCTCTACCTCTCAGGTTGAAGTGATTCTGATGCCTCAGCCTCCCAAGTAGCTGGGATTACAGGCATGCACCACCACGCCCAGCTAATTTGTGTATTTTTAGTAGAGATGGGGTTTTGCCTTGTTGGCCATGCTGATCTCTAACTCCTGGCCTTAAGTGATCTGCCCACCTTGGCCTCCCAAAGTGCTGGGATTACAGATGTGAGCCACCGTGCCTGACCTATAGTCAATTTAGAATATCAGTAATTAGGCAGCTTATTCTAAAGAATGATGGTGAGATTGACAACCCCTTTACATTGGGGAACTGTAAGTACCAGTTTGTGATGGGTAGTTTCAGTTGTGACTGTTATCTTGGTATAATTATTAATAGTGCCCCTTTCACTTTCAGATGGGTATTGGTGTTGGAGAATGCATTTATGTCACCCAATTGTTAGGGGTTGCAGAGCCCCAGATTTCTATCTCTGGCTCCTGCCCCGGCAGGGGGTCTGACTTGGGGATGGTCTGACAGGGCTTTTTGTTTTTTTAGCTGACTCCTTTAGCAGCACGGTCTCCAGCTGGCAGAGCCATTAGAACCATTCTCTTCTAAGCACCTTTTTCTAACACGTCTGAAAAGTTTTTGCCTCCTCTCGTAAGACTTAAGCAGATTCTCCAGCTACACGTTAAGATAGCAGCCTTCCTTTCCCCTATGACAAGAGTATAACAACATCCAATCATGAAATATTCACCACCCACTTCCTGTGTGCCAAGCACTGAGGCTGGGCTGAGGGTATAGAGAGATAAAGATGACAAACGAAGCAGACATGTTAAACAATAACTAAAGTGTGATAAATACTATCTTTGTACGATGTACACAACATATATTGAGGTCATTGAGGGAAGAATAGTTAATTCAGGAGAGAGGAAGGAGAGGGGAAGAATTTTGAGTTAGGCCTGAAGCGGGTAGTTGTATGTATACATCTTACAGGGGGATTGAGTGGGCAGGTGGAGGGGCTTTCCAGGAAGAGGAAGAGACATGTGCAGTGATCCATGGCCAGAAAATACATGGTGTGACTGGGGAGGCAAAAAGTAGCCTAGTCTGACTATCCATTTGTTGTATATACTGGTTTGGAACCGAGTGCGACGCAAGACCTTGGACCACATCCCGGGGGGAGGTGTTGTTATTAGAAGTACCAGACAGGACCTTATTTCACATTTAGCATGGACCCCCGATGATTCCATTTGAGTGAGGTGTGGGTGTATTTTCATTCCAGAATTTTATACTACAACATGACCACATGCATTGACCAATTTTAATACAGGCTTTCCTTATGTTGCTTTATAATTAGAAGCCAGTGAATTGAAGTTCCACAGCGGTACATAGACTAGTAGTGATAGCTTTATGGAATTGTTTATTTTTAGTTTGGCAAAGGCTAAGCAGTAAATATCTCAATTAGTAAACTAAAGCAGCATGGATGAGAAATGCCCGCAAGGAGATCAGGAGTTAGAAATAACTAAGTCAGTTAATTGAAGGAAACCCTAATATCACTTACCCATATTTAGAGTTTGAAGAACCATTCTAATATGTGTGTGTGTGTGTGTGTGTGTGTGTGTGCACATGTACATGCACACACACACTGTCAGTATCCACAGTGCTGCCAGCATTGAGGTCCTTTGCATTCCCCAGGTTCTAATTGTTTAGGAAGTTTCTCTCTTTGGAGCCACTGTGCTTGGTTATTGACCCAGTGGGATAGGTCAGTGTCCTATCACAGTACGATGGGTTGTTGTCTGACTACAGAAGCTTTTCATCCTGCAATTTCTTTCAATGTGACCCACGAGGGATTTTATTATGAAGTGCTGGGGGAAGTTATTCGTATTCATATTTGTATTCATATTCACATTATATGGCCTGATGTGTGAAGATATTTAGTGAAAACATGAATGTGGCACTGCAGAATCATTTACTCGCCTCTAGATAGAGGCTCCTGCATTATATTTAAGATTCCATTTTAAGTTTAGAGTGAAAACAGAGGTGGTCTACAAAGCTTAGTTTTAAGAATTTAAGTTTTGTTCCTAGAGTTCCAGTATCTCTGGGAAAGATTGACCACTCAGAAGATGAAACATTCATTGATAGTGTAAAACATTAAGAATATTAGAGAAAAAAGTTTTGTGTTTTAAAGTTACAAAATACCATTATTTAGTTGTTATGATGTTTTGACACTGCACACTTTAGTCCATTTGGATTCATGGCACGTATTTAACACTGTATGGAAGGTTGTTTGGATCTTCCCCCTAAAGTGGGGGAGGGTCATTAGAAAGGTCCTTGTCTTCTTATGCTTAACAATTTACTACGTATCAGCTCTCTCTGGTCTATAGGGGACATGATGGGGGTTTGTGCATCTGCAGATTAAATTTCTGTATGTCTCCTCTCTGTTTTGCAGACAGGAAAAAGATAGCATTCAGCAGAGCTTTAGCAAGGAAGCAAAGGCCCAAGCCCTTCAGGCCCAGCAAAGAGAGCAGGAGCTGACACAGAAGATACAGCAAATGGAGGCCCAGCATGACAAAACTGGTAGGTGGTAGGGAAAGATTAGAGCCTGGGCACTAGCTCACAAGTCAGGCCCACGCCTTACTGTGAAATGACATCAGGAACACCTGTAACCTTTGGCTGGCCGAAGGGAGCAGATGCTAACTACACCGGAGATTCCGAATTACATATTAGTTAGCGTTTAAAAGAGAAAATGGAAAGTATTGCCCACTGTCTGTTGATTTCAGAGTGCTGCTCTCACATCTGTTGCACCATCTGGATTATGAGTTTATTTACCTGTGTTCAAGAAACGTAAAGCTGAGAGAGACCACAACAAAGTAGAAAAACAAAGGGCTTGTTTTTGGCTGGGTTTTCAGGCACACATGTTATATAAAGAAAATAGCATCAGAAGCTCTGCGGGAAATGCTCTGAGCTTACAGTTAGAGTCTCCTGAATAGCATTGAACAGTTCCCACAGTACACACATTATAGCTACTCTAAAAGCCTAATGAGTTTGCTTCAGCATCCAAACTGGAGAAAAGCTTTAGCCATTAATCGGTTCTTAATTCACTGTCGCAGCTGGATGTAATTCAGTGGCTCCAAATTGATATGTTCCTTTATTTAATCTTTGCAGCTTCGAACATTTTTAGCATTTGTATGATTTCCCCACCTCCCCCAACCCAATCTAGAGTGATGTTTAATCCTTTGCATTCTTCAAGTTCTCACAACTGCTGTTAAAATTCACTAATACAAGGCACTGACCACAGCTGGCAGCTTGGCTAAAAATTGCCATCTTTCATCACATTGGCACTATTCTGCAGACTGAGTTGGCCAGTAACTCTTTACCTTTAATTTGAAAGTAAAATGCACTTTGAAAATAGACAGTTTGATTTGTTCAGTCAGAGCATTATGTAGTTTCTTTCACTTTTGAGTTGTGTGTTCACAGACAGTGTTAGTCAAAACAAGACAGTGTCAGTCATTATAATTCCACACCACATACTCCACACTGATTGTACTATTAAAACAAAAGTTTAATTGATCCTGTCTCTTCCAGAAAAATGTTGCTTAATTTTAGTGCCTTGATTTATTTTGATTTGTATGCTATATGCTTTTTGCCAATCATTGGCTAAAATTGAAAAGAAATAAAGGCCTCTTAAAACTTATGCTTAGAGGTAATTTTCATATGATTTAATGTATTAATATATTGTATTTGATGACACAGTAAGAAATTATTTCTTATCCTATGGGTGAAAAATTGCCAACAGGCAAGTCATTAAATAATCTATTTACTTATGAAGAGGCAAATGTCATATTGACTCACATAATTCCCTCTATCACTTTCAGTAGAGATTTTCTTCCAACAGCATTTGGCCAGAAGAAACGAAAATTCACCAGGTTTAGTAGAAGTTTTTCCTCTAAAAACAAAAAGAGGCAATTGTAGGATAAATTATTGTTTTTGCCCCCACTGCTAGCATGATCCTAGTGATCAGAGTCTTGGGCAGAATCTAAGCACTAGATTAGAATGTATTTAACTGTTAAAACCGCCTTAAGAACATTTCCTTTTGTCTTGTACACACATACACAAAATCACACTGTTTTCAATTTCTTTGACCAGATCTCCATTGAAGCTCATGCTGTTGACAATGAAATTAAAATTCTAAAGAAAATACACATTTTTACCTTCATAATTAGAGAAGTGTATGCAAGATTGGGGGTGGTGGTGGTAGTAAACCATGTGTGCAAATATGAAACAAAGCATGAATTACAGTGTAGAAGAGAATTCCTCGATGATTTTAGTTTTGAGTTATCTGGTTGTGATAATTTTTGACACTCTGTTTATAGTAAAATTGTCAAAATAAAAATATAATATCTTGCATATTGCAAAGATATAAGCATCTATTCTTCCACTTGAGGTATTTGACACTTTATTAACATGTTAAAATGTTACACCAAGCTGGTATGATGAAAAATGTTTCTGGTGTATAATTATGTTGAAAATAAATGACTCCCAAGATTGAGTGTCTTTCCAGATGATAAGTCCTTTGACTTAGGACATTGAAGGTGATCTAGTGGCTTATTGGAAATGTGTAGGGGTCTAAGCACTTTACCACTCTATGTATGGAAGCACTGCAGAGCGACAACCATAAACATCTTATGTTGGTGGGGGTTTATTGTTATTTCTAGAAAATGAACAGTATTTGTTGCTGACCTCCCAGAATACATTTTTGACAAAGTTAAAGGAAGAATGCTGTACATTAGCCAAGAAACTGGAACAAATCTCTCAAAAAACCAGGTAGGTGATGTTATAGAATACTTTCAAGAGCACTGTTTGTGTGATTACTCTAATTTTTCCTTAAAAAACATCATTTGCACTGTTTTATAGTCTAATGTCAAAATTAGGTATCTGCTGATGTTTTCTTTGAAAATATTTTCTACATATGGACATTTTCTTAATTGTCTATACGCTTTTATGTTTTTTCATGGTTATGTGTATGTACTATTATTTGACATTTCAATGTTTAGAATTGAAAACTGTGAAATTTCAGGAAAGAAGGATCAATATGGTAATAACATAAACATGCAGATAAATCAAGCAGTTATAAAATCTTACATAGGTATGGTTAACACATTTTAATCTATTGTTACAATTCACCATGAACACAAAAGCTGTCTTTAGGTTAAATGATAACAGATGAAATGTGTATATATAAAAATGAAAGTAGATGGTACTTTGAAATAAATAAACCAAAACTATTCTTCCCTTCTCCTAAAATTGTTATATTTTAATAGAACAGCCATCATTCATTTTATAGCATACTACTCTTTTATAAATCCATTGATTGGAATCTTAATGACTTTTTTCTATACACTTTCTAGTCAGATTATCTCAATGAATAAATTATTTCATATTCTAAACTGCAAGAAGCCCGACTCCCCATCTCAGCTCCGACAGTAACTGAATAATCTTGGACAAATGTATTTGACCTACTTGGACTATAGTTTCTTCTTTTGTAAATGAAAGACATTGGACAGAATCACTTTAAATTGAACTATAGAAGGCAATATTCACATAACTGATAAGATGTCAAATACTACTTTATATGATAACTCAATGAAAAAATTGCCTGTGTGTCTTCTTTTCTGCATTTTTCTGAAACTCACATAGATCTATTGAGAGCAGGAAATATGGCTCAGCAAACAAACTACTGACCTAGATGTTTCATTCGGGAAGGATTTCTGGGAGTATCAGGGCATATCTGATCACTCTGAGCTCCATCTTGGAATCCTGCATCAACAAGCTGTCTTAGCTGATAGAACCCCCATCCCTGAATCTTTTGGGGAATCAGAGGGCTCGTGCATCCAACTCTCCCTGCTCACCAGGAAGGCAGAGGCTCCTGTAACCACCAAGAATGTACTCTGACATGCGCACCTTCCTAGCGTATACTAAGATTGTATTTTGGTAGGGGAAAACCTAGGTGCCAAAATAC
The DNA here is from genome assembly GCF_000001405.40 of Homo sapiens. NCBI lineage: Eukaryota > Metazoa > Chordata > Mammalia > Primates > Hominidae > Homo > Homo sapiens. Next base: position 243,419,272 of record NC_000001.11, read on the forward strand.
CAGATATTTCAAGGAAATTTGACCAAGAAAACCAAATGATTTTGTCATGAAAGAGACCCATAAAATATCAACAGTAGCTATTCTTAACCAGAAATACTTGATTTGCACCACATAGATCCAAAAGTAATTTGTTAGAAGCAAACAAACAAGATTGTATCATTTAGGGATAAAATGATATCAATCTGGGTTTTATATAAATGTATTAGGTCTAAAATTGGTTTGTGAATGATTAGTGATCTTGCTCTCCAAGGAGACCTAATTAGGGAAATTTATTATATAAAAGAGACAAAAAGGTGCTTGGTATGTTATTTAATTCTCACCACAACTTGAGGCAGGAATTATTATCTTCCAGATAAGGAAACCAAAACTGTTTAAATAACTGGTGAGTGGGAGAGCTACGGTTCTAACATAGGTATTTCTGGTTCCAAAGTATACGTTCTTTCTTATGGTAATTACAGTATTTTACATCTATTGCTAAAGAAAATTCAAGCCACAGTAGTTATGATGAGAAAGTTTGGGAAGGAAAAATTCACCTTTAAATTTCCGTGGAGAAGTAAGCGTCCTTGGCATGTAACGGTTAACTTACTCTGTGCCCCTAGGCCCTCTTTTTCCTCCTCTAGATCTGTCATCTTAGCCTGTACTGGTCTAACTCAGAACCTCTATTGCTCCTCCTGCTTCTCATTCCTCCAGCTCCTGAACAGTACTTTGTAAATTGGATGTATTCTTTTGTATCTGACATAGATGGCATTTAATGAATAAATGATGAATGAATGAAACAAATAGGTGTGGTGCTATTCGCACCTCCTGATCTGACTTCTGATGCCAGTCTGTCCCATTGTTGATGGCTGACAGTGTGCAGTAAAGAACACATGGCAATTCAGAGGAACTAGGTTTGAATCTCACTCTCCCACTTGGAGCTTTGTAACCTTGGGTACATGGCCTCATTTCCCCAAACCTCAGCTTCTCCTTCTGTAAAAACATTTCTAAAGCCACACTGCAGGATTGTTATGGGAATTAGAATTGTGTATATAGATACGCATACATACACGTATCAAGTGCCTAGCACAGTGCCTGACACATAGTAATACACAGTAGCTGCTATTATTTTCACTGGTGGCATTTTTAAGGGTCTTGACTGGTAATTTGGGTATCACTTTACATAGCTATTGTCTTTGCCAGGGAAAGTCTGACTGTCATTTTCCGACGGACATAAGTCTATGCCACAATGAAAGCCTTTTTAAAACAGCCAGATCAGGAAAATGTGGATCTAGTTGTATTTTGTAACTCTGATGAATTAAAGCAGGCACCTACTCTAAGTTTACAATTTGACTCAACCAAGGCCTGGCAAGTAGTAAACACTTGATAAATTGTTACTTACTATTTTTAAAACTCTCAAGCGCCCCTAAAACTTACGAAAAGTGCATTTTGTGTGCCTCACAAGAAGGTAGTGAATAGGACAAATTTTGATTTTAGGGTTGTTTGTTCTTAATTTCTTTTAGTTCCAGTTTCATTTCTCCCTGGCTTCTTACTATGACATTTTCAATAACTCATTCATGTTAAGTTTTACATTCCATTTTGATGTTACCTTCTGCTTTGAAACCACCTATAAAACTTGAAGGGCTTAAACTGCTTCTTTTAAAATACAAATTATTAATGTAGTAAACTCTGAAGAAGCCCTCCAGGAGTGTGCCTCTGCATACCCCATGCCAAACTATTGGGATAAATAATTTTCCCTGTGCTTTGAGGTAAGGAAAATCTTGGAGTTTCTAAAGTTTTGTCATTGTGGAAACTCAGTCTCCAAATTTATACTTATGCAATCCATATGGTAATTTTGGTCCAGCTTTTCCTCAGAGTATTACAGTAAAATTCTTCTTGAAAAGTAAGTGTATTTATTTTGTATTGAGCAATAATTAAGACATATTTTTCCTTCCTCTGTTACTAGCAACATTACTCTAAGAGTCTTGTTTTTCAAAATACCAACTAAACAAATAGATTCCTACCATTTAAAACAAGATTTTAAACTCACAGATCTAGTCATTTGACTGAAGCCCATGCAGAATGACGGGAAAGCTGAGAGCATGGGCTCGGCGTGCACGTACGCCCTTACTCTCTGCCCCAGCTTCATGCTAGGCTGCTCTGTTGCTCTGTGAAAATGTTTTGAAATGGTACCTCCGTGTGTGTGTCTGTTGTATGTGTTTTCTCCCCAAGGAGACCGTAAGTCGCATTATGGCAGTGACGACTGCTTCTGTTTTCTGGAAGCCTCCATAGTGATTAGCACAGTAGTTTGCGCGCTCTGTGTACTCCACACTGCACGTAGTGGTGTCTGTAACCCCGGGGTTTGTGAATGGCACGTCCCATTTTAAAACTTAAAATGAACTGCCGATTCTGTGCATGTTGTATAGCTTGTTTTTGACCATCAGGCAAGAGAATTAATTCCATTTTGCTTTTAATTGGCACCAGGCAGACATTCTGGCTGATTTTAGTTGAAGCTCACATAAACTTTCGCTATCCTTCCTTCTGTATTCCCCAGTACTCTGAGAGCTTATTATAGTTATGGGGTTGTTTTTTGAAGGAGGTAAACGGAGCTATTTAAATATCTTCGGTACAACTGTGATTTTTCTTTATCAAAGTGAAGGAAGTGTTCTCTCTCCCCACGCGCTTAGATGAATCAGCAGTAAAACGTTGCAGTGCGGTTTGCAGTGCTATCTAACACCTGGCCTGGGAGAGCTGGAAGGATTGGGTGCTGGCAGGGAGTGAGCCTCTGCCAGCCACAGAGTGGAGAGAAGTGTGTGCTAGGTTTTAGCTTCCACCTCTTGCACACTGAAAAGAACAGGATAGAGCATAGAACCAGGGTCTATGTGGTTTTGCTTCTTTCTTTTCTGTCATTGTCACTTTCTGGGTTGTGAGGCTTGTGGACTGATGTCTAACACTGCCCATTGTGTATTTGTGATTTGCGTTTTGTAATTAAGAGGAACAATGGGAGTCCATGGGGTCTCGTTATATATAATGGTTGGTTTAATTTGTTTCACTTCTATCTTGTTAATTGTAAATTGATCATTAAGATTTGAATTCTAATCTGTCACCAGGGTTGTGAGTATTGAGGCTAGAGCAATGATCCCGGTTTTAATCACTGATGATGAGAAACAAATTTTATAATTTTGGTACATATTGCAGTTCATATATTTTAACACTATACTTTATGGTGTTATAAATATTGTTAAATGACTTTTAGTGTAGTTTTACTGTGTGGACTATAATGTGTAAATTATATTACTGTTTTGGCAACAGTAGGTATCCAACTGTGTGAGTTTAATTGAGGTGAAGAACACACACCCGGTTGAACTGTTTTTTTCCTTTGCATGTTTAGATGATGTTAGGTTGGGATACTATAAAAATTATATTTTCTACAAGAGGAGACTGATATTGGCCTCTGCTAATTGTTACCAAAAGTCAAACTAGAACCTAAAAGAATAAAAAATTAAGATATTGTATTTCCCTTTGAAAGCAATTATCATTTTAATCCGAATTATAGTAGTAAAATATATTTCATGCAAATGCAATTATGCAACATAACTGGTATATAAAAATACAGGGGAAAGTTCATGCTTCTGTAAAGCCAGAAATTGCCTGAATTTTCTATGAAAATGGATTAGAGTCAATTATCCTTTTATATGACACAGGATAATCATGCCAGAAATGTATCTCCTAACTAACAGAAAACTTGTAAGTTTACTCTTTGAGCTTTGCAAACTACTAGTTCTAGGAACATATCGTGAGCTGCAGACAGAAAAAGGATGATGTGCAGGCATATATGTCAAATTTTTATTGAAAAATGGAAGTTGGTAGGCAAATTACAATTATAAACAAAGAAAAAAACAAAAATGTGAAGCAGAAAAAAAGATTGTTGCAATACACACTTGATAGTGATGTGTACTTTATAAATAACATTTATATTTTTGGGATTATGTAAGACATCCTCAATGCAGGGAATTTGGAAAATACAAAGAAGAATTAAGGAAAATTTCCTGTGCCACTACCAGCTAGAGATAACTATTCTTACCTCTGATATATTTCCCTTCAGTCATTTTTCATGTGTATGTCTGTGTACATTTATAGTGTGATTGAGATTATACCGTATATACAGTTTTGCGTCTGCTTTTTCATTTGATATCTAATGAACATTTTTCTATATCAGTAAATACTCTGAAAACAAAACTTTATTAAATGATTTGCGTGTATAAGAATTATTAGGCTTTTAAGATGCTTCCAATTTTTAACCGTTTATGAATAATAATACAACAAAAACTTTGTACCTAAATCTAAATTTTTGATTGTTTCCTTAATTGCTGGTCCAAGACGATTAATCCTTTTAAGGGTGTTGATGTGTTTTACCTTGCTGAAGTACTACACTAACTTCTAATAACTGTATATGTAGCCATATTAGTAAATAACATTACAAAGAAGTGAGATTTTTTTAAAAAAGCATGAGAGGCAATATTGCACAGGTGGGTGGAACCACCCCTTTAGAGGTGGACTAAGTAATATCTGGGCTTGACTACTTGGATGACCTTAGGCAAATTATTCAACTTCATGTTTACCTCACAGAGAAAAGAAAAGAAACCCTTACAAGTACCTTATAGGATTAATTGAGATCATGAATGTAAAGGATGGATTTCACTGTTTGTTATACGGTGGCATGCAGTAAATATTTGGTGGTAGTATCTGGTTTTGTTGTGCTATTTTTTGAATAATAGTGAAATTGAATATGTTATAAATGGTATTGATCATTTGTGTTTCTTCTGTAGATATTTTCAATATTTCTTATACTTTTTAATTGGAATTTTGATGGAGAGTGCAGTTAGTGTTTCATTAAATTATGCTTTTAATGTTTGTCTTATTTTTGTAAATAATTTCCTGTTGTTTACATTGATTTTAATTAATAAGCTTTATTTTTTAGAGCAGTTTTAGGTTCACAGCAAAACTGGACAGAAAGTACAGAACTCCCATATATTCCCTGTTCCTTCCACACACAACCTCCCCCACCAGTGACATCTACATTTTGTTTTATTATGATTTTTTTCAAAATCAGAATGAATTTATTTAAAACAAATAAAATACATATCTATTTTAAAAATTTAGAAAGTATGGAAAAGGATGAATACAGAACAGAGAAAACATTCCTGATCCTACCATCCAGAAATAACCAATATTAATAGTTGGTATGCATGTCAAAATATTTTTCTAAATTATAAAATGAAATCACATTACACATGCTGACTTTTAATGTTTTCTCTTTGTTACTAATATGTCACAGTTTTAGATCAATAAATATCACTTATAAATAGCCACATTATCAGAATAATAAGTAACATAACCAAGCTCCTGTTGATAGATTTCTTGGTTAAGTTTCCAGATTATGGGTTGCAAAGAAAGGTTGTTTCTAGAAACAATGCTACAATGAATACTCTCACACAAACCTATGATATATTTTAAATGTGATTTTTTTATGCATAAAAGTTTTGTATTTTTATATTGTAAAATCTATTTTTTTCTTTGTGATTTTTCTTTTTAAAAGTGCCTTTTGCTTGGAAAGTGCCTGGGAAAAGATCAATGTTCTGCATTTTTTTCTAATCTGGTTTAAGGATTTTTTTTCTTCTTTTGAAATTTATTTTAGTGCATGGTATGATAGGAGATACTAATCTTGGAAGGGATACCAGATCAAAAATTTATCATAACTGCCTCTAAATTCTTTTGTATTGTATGTGATTCTGAAAGGAGAAACGTAAGTCATTATTAACTCCTTTCGGACTATTTCAAATATGGGTAGATTCTTATTAGGAGAAGCAAATGTAGATTGAGCACTTGATCTGAACTTGAAAATGAGATAATCCATGCTCTCATACAGAATATGGTAGGAAAGACAAGGCACAGAGCACAATTTAAAAGAATAAATTATAAGCTAATGTATGCATAAAGGCTAGAGGTAGCTTCAAAAAACGTGCTGACATATTGAGAACTGCAAGGTATCAATCAGGGCAAGCTTCCTTTTGGATGACATTTGAACCAAGATGAAAACAAAATGAAGAATGAGGTGAACTAAAAGCAAGAGTTTTTGCTCCATACACGTGAGCAGCCTGGTCCTTGGGATGAACAATTTGTAAAGTAAGATTTCCCTTAGCAAATCCAAATCCTTTTCTGACCAGGAAGAAAAGGCTATCTTGCCTACTGGAAGAATTCTTTCTTTGAAGGGAATTAATTTTATGTCAGGAGTCTTCAGAAAACAATCCAATCATTAACCTGAAAACGACTCATAATATACAAGAGTTTTAAACTTTCCATTCTAACTGATTAGGCATTAGGGCATGAGGAGATGGTGGCAGTAGGCAGTAATTTAGAGTTTACTTAATACAAGGAAAGGAATATAATTTTTCTTGGATAAACATCTTTCTGATCTTCAAATTTTGAGACTTGGATTGTCATCTAAGACACGAAAAACAAGATATTCCCATTTTGCTCAGGGGAGGTCAATCTTTTTTCTATTAAGACCTTCAGTGGATTGGATAAAGCCTGCCTGCATGGACGGCAATCTGCTTTTCTCAAAGTTTACTAATTTAAATGTTAATATCATCTAAAAAGCACCCTCACAGAAATGTCCAGAATAATGTCTGGCCAAATGTCTGGGCACCATGGCCCAAAGAAGTTGACACATAAAATTAACCATTAAAGAACTATTTTTATTTTAACTGTGTGCCATTAAACTGGTTATGTTAATTAAAAGAAACTCTGTTATAGAAATTAGGCCTAGGGTTTCTTCTTTGACAGCATAGTGTTTGGCCTATAACAAGCACTCAGTAAGTATTTGTTAAATGAATGACAGTCTTTTAAAAAAGAGATTTGATCATTATCATGTTTGTCTTATTCCTTAGGGAAGCCATTTCTGTTAGAGTAAGTTGTTATTCCTTTTTCTGTCTAACACATGAGTCTCTACAATGTATCTTGCCATTTCTGAAATATTTTCTTTTGCAAAGGATGTAGTTTTCATTATGCTATCATGTTTAAGTGTGGAGTTTAAGATAATGTTAAGGTTATATAATAACAATATGCCCTAGTAATAAGAACTTCTAACATCTATTATTTTTGTGTTTTCACCTCTAGATCTGAAATAGCTCAACTCAGTCAAGAAAAAAGGTATACATATGATAAATTGGGAAAGTTACAGAGAAGAAATGAAGAATTGGAGGAACAGTGTGTCCAGCATGGGAGAGTACATGAGACGATGAAGCAAAGGTAATCAAGGTTTCATGTCAACTCATGTGCCGCATATTGAATGTGTTTGGTTTACACACTGAAGGGGAATTGCTGCGGAATAAGTAGAATTCATCATCATTATGCTACTTGTGACATGCTCAAAATCTAATACTTTATTTTATGTATTTATGCTTCCTTAATTTAGGTTGTTCTTATTATATACAAAGAGGAGAGTACATCCTCTTTTTGTTATTCTCTGAAGACATAGAATTAGATTTAACATGGAAGAATGGAGGAAAGCCATTTTCCTTTAAGGTGTAAGTTGGTAATATTGTAATATGGAGGAATTTCAAATTATCTCTCCTAGAAATTAGATTTTATATGCTTTTTGTAAGGTAAAGCACATAGTAGGTCTAAAGAGGTTAAACATCTTATCAGAGGTTGCACTAATAGCATTGCTAGAGTCAGAACTTGACTACAAACAAAACCTTCACTTCTTTCTGGTGGTGTTACTTTGAGCAAGTCACTTAAGTTCTCTGAGTGACTGTTTCTTCACCTATATATTGGCGCTAATCATATCTACTTTGCATTTTGATGGAAAGATCAAATATAATATGGCAAAGCACATGGCTCATAAAGGCCACCCACTAAATGTCATCAATAATTATTATTCTCTTTTTCTAGATGAAGAAATTCGGCTCAGAGAGGCTAATAGGTTTGCTCAAAGTGACAGATGGAATAAGTGGTAGAGTTCAGACTTGAATCTTGATCTTTTGACTCCAAAATCCTTTTCTTTTTGTGCAGTAATGGGGATTTTTTTTTTGGCAATAAACACAGCCTCTTACTATTTTTTATCCATGTGCCATTTCTCACTTCTGTGTGATAATGGATTCCCTGGGCAGAAAATAATCTCAGTATTTCACAGCAGACAGTGAATAGGTTTCTGTAGACTTGGACTTCCACATGACAACCGCATGCACGATGATAGCAGCCACCCTTCCAGTGGACACGGTTCGCGTGGCCTCCAGCTCGGCATCCCCACACCATTTCCCAGCCATCCATGCCTTCTCTGTTTCAAAAACAGTTCTTGATATAATTGAAGGAAATGAAAATATTTATAGACTCCTTGTATTTTTTTAAATGTAAAGTAAGCATATTAGCCTGGGGTGGGGGGGAGGTATTTTTACGTTGATTACTTGCTTTATTGAATGAAGACAGGCAGTCAGATGATGGCACTGCTTGTCAGTTATCAAAATACCAAAATATGGATATACTTGCAAAGTAATAATTATTCATTCACTATTAAAATGTTTACTTAAGCCCAGGCACTTCTGTAGGCCAGGGGTCTGCAAACGTTTTCCGTAAAGGGCCAGAGAGTAAATATTTCGGACTTTGCAGGCCACACGTGGTCTCCGTGGCATAGTCTTCCTTGTTTTGTGTTTTTTACAACCCTTGGAAAAAGTAAAGACCATTCTTAGCTAGAGGACCAACAAAATGAGCCAGAGGATTTGGCCATTGGGCCAGCCTTTGCCCCAGTCCTGTGCACCTGGGGCATCTTTCCATTTATTTTCTTACATTTGTGTATTGCTTTAGAGTTCCTAGAATGCTCTCACACATAGTACCTTATGTACCTTGAAGCAACCTTGAAAGTAGCTGCATTTATCATCTCCATTTCCAGATGGAGAACTAAGCCTAAGAAAGACAAACGTGCCGAATGAAGGTCAGGTGGCAAATTAATGGTTCGTTCATTCAACATTGATTGATTGATTGATTGATTGCTGCTGTGTGTCACATTTTCTACCACATGCTGGAATAAAATAGCAAAGTAGATATAGTTCCCACTCTAATGGAGTATACATCCTTATAGGGAAGATGGATATTAGCAAAAGAATTTCATAACTGTCTAATTAATTATAGTTGACCCTTAAACAACACAGATTTGAACTGTTTGGGCCCATTTATACACAGATTCTTCTCAATAAATTTATTGGAAAATTTTTTGGAGATTTGCAACAATTTGAAAAAACCTGCAGACAAACCATGTAGCCTAGAAATAATGAAAAGAAGTTTTAAATTTAAGTATGTCATGAATACATAAAACATCTGTAGATACTGGTCTTTATCATTGACTACCATAAAATATATGCAAATCTATTATAAAAAGTTAAAATTTATCCAAACTTACACACACAAACACAGATCATACATGGTACCATCTGCAATTGAGAGAAATGTCAAATGTGAAGGTGCAGTATTAGATCGTAACTGCATGAAGTTAACTGTAGCACACACTGTACTACCGTGATAATTTTGTAACCACCTCCTGTTGCTATTGCGAGGAGCTCAAGTATTGTAAGTATCCACTGAAAACGCTGTGTGGACTAAATCGTCTGCATGTGAACAGTTTCTCTCTCCAGTAAATTGCTTATTGCAATAACAAGTGATCTATTGCAGCTCTTGTGTATTTTTCATCATGTTTAGTGCAATACATAAACCTTGAATAACACCGTGGGACCCATACGAAGTGCCACTAGTGATGTTGGAAGTACTTCCAAGAAGCAGAGAAAAGTCATGACGTTACAAGCAAAAGTTGCATTGCAGGATATGTAGCTTAGATTGAAGTTTGCAGCTGCAGCCGCCTGTCATTTCAGATGATTCATCTTATAAACAGACATTATAAACTTATGGCATCAATATATAACAGTACAGTACTGTAAAAGTATTTTCTCTTATGATTTTCTTAATATTTTTTCTAGCTTACTTTATTGTAAGAATATAGTGTATAACACATATAACATATAAATATGTGTTAATCAACCATTTATGTTATCAATATAAGGCTTCTGGTCAACAGTAGGCTGTTGGTAGTTGAATTTGAGAGGAGTCAAAAGTTATGCATGGATTTTTTGACTGTACAGGGGGTTGATGCTCCTAACCCCCATGTTGCTCAAGGGCCAACTGTACAGTAATGACCAGTTCTATGAAGGAGAAATATATTTTGTGGTACAAGTACATTTAATAAGGGAACTTGTTTTTTAAAAAATTATTTTTAAGAGAATATCTCACTCTGTCGCCCAGGCTGAAGTGTAACCTTGAACTCCTGGGCTCAAGTGATCCTCCCTCCTCAGCCTTCCAAGCAGGTAGGGCTACAGGTACATACCACCATGCTCTGCTAATTTTTTTTTTTTTTTTTTTTTTTTGAGACAGAGTCTCACTCTGTCGCCCAGGGTGGAGTGCAGTAGCGCGATCTCGGCTCACTGCAACCTCCGCCTCCTGGGTTCAAACAATTCTCCTGCCTCAGCCTCCGGAGTAGCTGGGATTACAGGCGCCTGCCACCACGCCCAACTAGTTTTTGTATTTTTTAGTAGAGACAGGGTTTCCCCATGTTGGCCAGGCTGGTCTCAAACTCCTGACCTGAGGTGATCCGCCTACCTCGGCGTCCTCTGGGATTACAGGCATGAGCCACCATGCCTGGCCTAATTTTTAAAACTTTTTGTGGGTACTAGGTCTTGCTATGTTGTCCAGTCTGGTCTTGAATTCCTCGCCTCAAACCATCCTCCCGCCTCGGCCTTCCAAATCTCTGGGATTACAGGTGTGTGAGCCACTGTCCCCAGCAGGGCACTTAACATTGATTAAGAAAAGCTTCAATGAGAACATGACATTTGAATCGGTAAGCAGTGGGATTAGATCAGGAATTGGCAAACTATCTGGCCCTCTCCTAAAAAATTTTACTGACTCCTGTTCTAGAGAAAGAAAATCTATAAAATGGAAGTTCCTGAGATAAGAAAGCATAGTACTGGAGGAAGAGCAAGAACTGTGTGTCCAACATAAAGGAAAACAGAAAGTGTGGCATACAATGAGGTTGGAGAGGTAGGAAAGGGCTGGACCTAAAGGCAGGGTCTTTATGTTTTTGTTTTTATTTTATTTTATTTATTTATTTTTTGATACGGAGTCTCTCTCTGTCGCCCAGGCTGGAGTGCAGTGGCGCAATCTTGGCTCACTGCAAGCTCCGCCTCCCAGGTCCACGCAGTTCTCCTGCCTCCCGAGTAGCTGGGACCACAGGCGCCCACCACCACGCCCGGCTAATTTTTTGTATTTTTAGTAGAGACGGGGTTTCACCGTATTGGACAGCATGGTCTGGATCTCCTGACCTCGTGATCCGCCAGCCTCGGCCTCCCAAAGTGCTGGGATTACAGGCGTGAGCTACCGCACCGGGCTGGTCTTTATGTTTTTATCATGGACCTTTAAATTTATCTTGTTACTAATGGGAAGAAATCAAAAGATTTTTTAAAAAATAGAGGAGATGTGATCAGATTTGCATTTAAAAATTGTATTCTAACTCCACAATAGATAACAGATTGGAACAGAGCCATCGTGTTTGCTCAAGACCAGTTATGGGCCGGGCGTGGTGGCTCACGCCTGTAATCCCAGCCCTTTGAGAGGCCGAGGTGTGTGGATCATGAGGTCAGGAGTTCGAGACCAGCCTGGCCAACATGGTGAAACCCCGTCTCTACCAAAAATACAAAAATTAGCTGTGTGTGGTGGCGAGCGCCTGTAATCCTAGCTACTCGGGAGGGTGAGGCAGGAGAATCACTTGAACCCGGGAGGCGGAGGTTGCAGTGAGCCAAGATGGCACCACTGCACTCAAGCCTGGGTGATAGAGCGAGACTTTGTCTAAAAAATCAAACAAACAGAAAAACGATTAGGGAGTTTTTGGACTTAGTCAAGCAATGATGATGCTTGGACTGGAATGCTAATATTGGTGACAGAAATAAACACTGGCGAAATGTGTAGGAAGTAGAACCAGCAGGAGTTACTTGATTGGCAGTGCTGGGTGGAGAAGAGGAGCGTGTCAAGGACGACACCCATATTTCTGACCTGAGCAATGGGTGCCTAGTGCTGCTACTTACTGAGAACTAGGGAACACTCTAAAGAAGCTGGTTTGGGGTTGAGATGGCCTGGGTTTGGGATGAGATCAAGCGTTACGTTTTGGCCATGAATTTAATGTTCAAATGATGGTAAAGATCATTCAAGTTGTAAAAACGAAGAAAGTTAAATTTTCAACTGGTGGTTTGGAACCCCTGGTGTCCACAAAGGCAGTCCAGGGAATTCATGTTAAAGATGGCAGTGCCATTTTTTTTTTCTGTTTTTATTTTAAAGTAAGTATCAATTCACCTATTTCTCCCTAGAAAATAGAGCTGTGTGAAAATCCCCCAGTGTATACAGAGTGGACAAGCCCCAGAGCCAGTGGAGCACTGCTGAGCACCTGTGTCCTCTCATCTGGGCGTTCACTGTCACCGACTCCCAGTAATCCCGGGGGTTTCGTCAATTACACAGTTTTACAGGAGTTTTTTCCCCCTTTTGTATGGTAATATATTGTTTAAAGTATATCCATAAAAACCATTGTCTAAAGACATGCAGCTTCTGATCGAAGTGTAACAATCTAGTAATGAGTTTAAAATAGGTAATTCTTCTATAAACTAGATTCAGGATGATCTTTACCAAATCCGTAAGTTCTATGTTTGTCATAGAAATTTGATTCTTCAAAAGCCAATGTTAAAAATACAAATTATAATATTGATTTCTATCTAATTTGACATTTTAATTTGGGGAATTAACACTATTTACTATTTTCAGAAAAGTGCTTGAAAATAGAAGCCTGAAATCTTAATCTTTATCTCATAATTTAAAAACAAAAAGAGTCCTTTGCAGGAACATGAATGGAGCTGGAGGCTATTATTCTTCAAACTAGTGCAGGAACAAAAAACCAGATACCGTATGTTCTCATTGTAAGTGGGAGCTAAATGATGAGAACACATGGATACTTAGAGGGGAACAGAAGACACAGGGGCCTGCCTGAGGGGAGGAGGTGGAAGAAGGGAGAGGATCAGGACAAATAACTAATGGGTACTCGGCTTAATACTAGGGTGACAGTTATAATCTCTTCACAATCTCCCATGATACAAGTTTACCTATATAACATACCTGCACGTATACCCCTGAACTTAAAAGTTTTAAAAAAATGGGAAAATTAAAAAAAGAGAGAAAGCTGTAACAGTAGCAGTTGAATTTTATATTCAAAAAGCAAACATTTCAAAACAAATCATGAAATTGTTTTTATTTGTTATTGATTTTATAACATGGGTTTAATTTCAAATCTATGTTTTAGAGTATCTTTTGGTGTGAAGACGTTATTAGCCAATGGTGCCTTTTTCTTTCATAATTAATTCACTATGGATTTAATTTATGTAAATGAAATAGTGGCATTATTTATTGCACAGGAAAATTAAAATTTTATGTTACAAAGTTCAAACTTATGCTTATTTTAAATGAAATGCTTTTACTTAAAAAGTTCCTCTTTATTATATATAATAATGAGATGATTTAATAAATTCCATGTGTTTCTATGGAGGGGGTTTGAGAGTCAAAAGAAATTTGGAGACGCTGAGGTAGACAAAGTGCGGCGTATAAGGTTCCTGAGAAGAGAGGTGGGTTGGGATACCAAGCACTGAGCAGAAAATGATAGTGAACTGGGCGAAGGGTCACCTCCTCCGTTGCCATCGCAGCAGCTGTAGCAGAAGAGATTATATGAGCTGATAAATGCAGGCTTATGGATACGGTGCTGGAAAGGTAACCTGATGCCAGACTTAGTTTATTCTGTGTTTATTGGGCATCTGTTTTGTACCAGTCACTGTGCTAGGCCTGGAGACACAAAGATGTAAAAGATATACTCTGCCTTGGAGAACTGCGTGAACTCGGAGGGCGGAGGTTGCAGTGAGCCGAGATCGCGCCACTGCACTCCAGCCTGGGCAACAGAGTGCAACTCCGTCTCAAAAGAAAAAAAAAAAAAAAAAAAGGATATACTCTGCCGCACTCTCGTGGCTGCAGACTTCCTTTCTGTTTGGGCTGGCCTAAGTATTGCAATCCTGCAGTGCAGAGTAGCCATGGCAGCACCTGCCATCTCCTGGGAGGTCACTCCTGGCTGCTGCCATGCCTCCAGAAACCCAGATGCAAGAAGAAAGTCTCTCCTGAGGAACCAGCCTCCCTTGGCAGGCTAGACAGGAGTTGGCTGCCCTTAAAGTGTTTATTTGTTTAAGTCTCCTGTTCTCTCTGTTTTATATAGACCTAAAGGTCTGTTATTGAGATTTGGAGTGTATGGTCAAAAACTTCCACTGCCCCTGGGGCAGTCTTGAGTTGTTCATCCTTTGCTTAGAAAAGTGATCAAGGTGTAGACCCAAGCTCCCTGGGTAGTGATGACCAGAAGACTCACCCCGAGTATAGGTGTTTTTGTCAATTCTTATGGACAGTTTCAAAATCTATTAAGTAAAAAATTTAAAAGTACTAAAATTTGGTTTTTATAAGCCAAAACAACTTACTGCGAATGCTAATGCAATATTCTACTGGCCGCCTCCACACCCGGCAGAGCTTGTGTGATGTAACATAAGCGCTGCTAGTTTGACTTTTGATGATTTGGGGAAAGGATTCTAATTATTACTAGGTTATCAGCGTTGTTCTGAGGTCATCTTCATTTTCAAATGCTGCTCTTCTTGCTTTTAATTATAAATTGCTGTTAATTTAGCTTCATCACAATAATTTAGTTTGTTTTGGATTGTTTTGTTAACCCCCTACGGTGCAGTATTGCATACTTGCATCAGTGGTATAATGGTTTCCCAGTAACTACATTTTAAGTCCCGTATGACTTGTAATACAGAAATGAATCACCCATTATCTCTTTTGCTAAAGCAGATATATGATCCCTGCCTCCTGCCACCACCTCAGCAATTTGCTGTAGAGAGGCAGTCCTTTGATTTGCTCCTTGCAAATGTTTGTTTTTAAGTAACTGATAACATGCTATTAAGAGCAAATTAACAAAATTAGATTTATATGCCATTATTTTATAATATAAAATTATACTCTTATGAAGAAATGGTAAGAGATGTATATGTTGCTAGAAAAGAATCTTATTACATCTTGTTTTGAAATGTTCCGTTATCCCTAGAGTTTGTTTCACTGGACCACTGACATGTTTGGATTAGGGAGGCTGTCTCATCTAAGGGGTCTAACAACAGACAATCGAATACTAGAAATCACATAGAAAAGTTTATCCTTTTCAAATTATTCAAAAATTGTAAGCCAATTGGGGTTCAAACAGTCCCTTTGTAATGAGCCAGTTGTATGCATTGAGAACTCCCTGTGAGGACTGGAAGTCACGTTTGTTTATACTGTGGTGGGAAGGCCAGATCAGACTGCTGCCCTCCCAATAAGTTGGGAGCTTTGCCACTCTGTGGGAGTTAGAATTTTGATCTGGGAATGGATAATGAGTTATTTAAAGCAGGCTGTGCATTTACCTTAGCTGGGACAAGGCAGCTGCTATAACTGATTACCAGGGAGAACATTAAGTGGGAAAAGGAGGCAACAAAACAAAGTTGGGACAATGCCAAAGAAATGATGTTACACTTTTGCCTGGGATAGGCCCACTACCCAGGAAAAAGAAAAAGACACCCTTTGATTTATTCATCAAATATTTACCGAGTGCTTATACACTGCTGATGTGCTTGGGATACATCAAAGGACACGTAGACAGCCTTGTCCTTATGGAACTTACATGCTTTAAGCTACCTTCAAGATCTAGTCCTTTGTTTTTAAGACCTAAAGCCAAAAGTAGAGAGATAGTATGCATCGTACGTAACAGCATCCTTCCTAAAACCAAGTTCTCTGGGCTTTCCTCAGTTTACTTCTTTGTAGCTGCTTTGTAGCTCCATGGGCTAATTCCTTAATCTTAAACTTCATCTTCCTCACTTTCTTGATCTCCAAAATGCTACCTTGTAGGTTGTGAAAACTGCCTAAAATAATCCACAAAAAGGTCTTTAGAATAGTTCCTGGCACAACGTTAGTGCTTAACAAATGTTTCACATTGCTATTCATTCATATCCTTCATTCAACATATTTATTAGGCCCTTAATACATGCTGAGCTCTGTTCTGGATTCTGGGATTGCAGCAGGAACTTCAGAGACTTAGATTCTAAATGGTTGTTTATTTATATTATAGGTTAAATTGACTCTTGTGAGTTAGTCTGTGAACCAAAATACCATGTTTACATAATGTTATTTCTAAGGCAAAATGCCTTTTGAATTTTCAACAACTGATTTATGGAACGACATTTTGGACCACGACTTGGGATATGCCTATGATGTTCTAAGTGTTTGTGAACATGTGAATGTGTGTGTGTGTGTGTGTCCTCTATTCGATGGTGAAAATTTTCAGTATGAGCCCCAAGTAAAATTTCAAGAGGGATATATCTATCTAGTTGCTTCTTTACAATCGTATTTTCAGCATAGTTAGGAATAAGGAACACTCTAAAAAATTTTTTTATGCAAGTTTTAGGTTCACAGCAAAATTGAAAGGAAGGTACAAAGATTTCCCATATACCCCATACATGCATAGCCTCCCGCATTATCAGTATCCACCACCAGAGTGGTATAATTGTTACAATTGATAAGCCTTCATTGGGACATCATAATCACCCAAAGGCCATAGTTTACATTAGGGTTCAGCCTTAGTTTTGTACATTCTGTGGTTTGGACGAACACATGATATATCTCTACCATTGAACATGCTCTGTATGATATCATATCATGTTTATCAACTTTTTTTTTTTTTTTTTGAGCAGTGGCAAGGTTTTTTGTGAAGAGCAAAAGAACAAAGCTTCCACAGCATGGAAGGGGTCCCGAGCGGGTTGCCCCAACTTTTTTTCATGGGTCGTACCTTTGGTGTTGTAGCTATTGTCCTACCTGTGGTCACCTAGATGTTCTCCTATGTTATTTTCTATAAATTTTATAGTTTCGTGTTTTACAGTTAAATCTGTGATCCATTTCAAGTTACGTTTTGTGAAGGGTGTAAAGTCTCTGTCTAGATTCATTCTTTTTTTGCATATGGATATCTAGTTGTTTTAGCACTATTTGTTAAAAACTCTATTTTTGCTCTATTCTACTACTTTTGCTGTTTGTCAAAGATCAGTTAACTACATTCATCTGAGAGGAACACTCTTTTTAAATTCCTAATTGTAACTTCATTAAGTCTTTAGGAACAGAAAAACAAAAGGCTAACAGAGTTTAACTTCTACTCCTGGGAGGGAAAATTTTATATTAGTACTAGGAAATAACTAATGCCTGTTTGGAGGCAAAAATTCTGACAAACCATCTATAACCTGCCAATTTTAATATTTTTATAATGTTTATTATTTTTGCTTTTTCTACAATTAACTGTGGATAATACAAAAATATTCAATTAATAATAATTGCTACACCCATGTTAGCATTGTACAAAGAACCACAAGAGGCTGTGAGTATTAAACACCTATCTGTGGAAAGGTCTTTTCGCAAAAAGACAGAATAGGTAAATTTCTGTTCTTATATCAGAGGGGAAAAAAGGTACATTTCAGTGCTGAAAGTCCCTGAAAAATTTCTTCCATATATCCAATGTAAACCTCTTTCAGTCAATTCACTCTCTAAAGCTGATTTTCTCTCTTTGGTTTATCTTTTTGGTAGATCCAGAACTGATTAGAATTTTCATTATCTTAACTCTTAAGACTTAAAATTTAACTTAGAACTTTTAAATTAAATCTGATTTTTCATTTCTGTAGTTGTGTTTGTTGCTTTGCCTTAGACTCTACAATTTTAAACATTGAATATTAAATGTGAAAACCTAGATTGCCTGTCTTTTGCTTTATTTTGCACCTTCTAACTTATTAATGTATCCCTGTATTTATTAACATGCATTCAGCACTAGGTACAAAAGGAAAAAAGACATGATATTTCCCCTTTAGAAGCTTCGAATCCAGTGCGGGAGGTATACGGTAATCATACAGGTGTAATAGACTACGGTAAGAGTAAACCCAGGATGCTCTCTGTGTACATCAGACTGGCATGTCACCCAGGTTTGGAGGTACAGGGCACAATTCTTTTGAGAAATAATATCTATCGTCAAATCCTAAAATGACATGGAGGAATTCTTTTTTTTTTTTTTTTTTGTATTGAAACAGAGTCTCGCTCTGTCGCCCAGGCTGGAGTGCAGTGGTGCCATCTCGGCTGACTGCAAGCCCCACCTCCCGGGTTCACGCCATTCTCCTGCCTCAGCCTCCCGAGTAGCTGGGACTACAGGCACCCGCCACCAGGCCTGGCTAATTTTTTTTGTATTTTTAGTAGAGACGGGGTTTCACCGTGTTAGCCAGGATGGTCTCGATCTCCTGACCTCGTGATCCGCCCGCCTCGGCCTCCCAAAGTGCTGGGATGACAGGCGTGAGCCACCGCGTCCGGCCAGAAAGCTGTTTTTTAAACATTAACCATCACACCACTAATGGATTTTGCTTTTGCCCTCCCTCAGTGACAGTTCACATTTTTCCTAGGATCAGGGCAACAGGTTTCCACCCATTTCCCAGAGGAAGACAGCTTTTGCCTCTCACCTTCTCCTGGAGGCAGTGGGCCTTTTTCCTGAGAAGGTTTCTTGCCCCTCCCCCGGGAGCTTGAGGCGTTTGCTTCATATGAAAAAATAGTCTAGTCAGTGGGCAGTGGATGTCCTCATGCCCCACCTCGGAGGGGGAAGCTGCTCGTGGGTTTTTTTGCCCCGCCTTCAATCTTTCCTGTGCGCATCCGGGGGGAGGAAGGCTGTGGAAAAGTGTTCAATAATGAGTGCAGGTTTCTCTTGTCCTCTTGTGTTTGGGGCTCCCATGGATTCCAGGCTGGCACACTAGCCCACACTTTAAGAACCCATTAAAAGGTTGGCTGCTTTCCTTTTATCTACTTTTACAGTGGCCATTTCCCCTTTCCTTGCTATGCCAAAGATAAAACGGTTCAATTGTTCTGCCTTCAGAGAGTCATGTCACCTTTTGGAATTTACATCAGCTAGTTACCTTGCAACCTCAGCTCTCTGATTGGCTCAAGAAAAAATATGATTTTGAAGATTATCTGGCTTTTGCCCATTGTTAGAGTGGGAGTGATTGTGTGTGTGTGTGTGTGTGTGTGTGTGTCTATGCACACGTGCGCGTGCACCTGCCTACCTCCTAGTAGGAGGTAGACCCCTCAGAAGTTAGACCTGGAGGAGTCTTTCTCTTGAACCATGTAAAAATGTTTAGGATTTCTTCTGAGCACTCTGAGAGGGGCCTTTGAAGGGTTTTAAACAAGGGAAAGACATTTCTGTGATGTTAGCGTTTTCAGTACCATGAGGCTTTTCTCATACTTGGTGAGCCAGAGTGGCTCCTGATAACTTTCTGCTGATCATGGCCTATCTTTAACTTTGCAGTTTGTTTCTGATCTCTGAGTTTATTGACATTTTCACCAGTGATTTTGCTCGCATTATCCAACTACTTCCATTCCTATGACATTCCTCTGGTTTGTATCTTTCCATATCTGTTTTAAGATATGTTAACTAACCAAGTGAGTGACTTCAATGAAGATGCTGCCAATTCCTTCATTCCTACTGTCTTAGAACCTGTGCAAGGATTAAATATGAATGTTTATTTTGGCTGTAGTCCCTGGGCAGTGAGAGTGAGGGAATGGAAGGTGAGGCGTGGAAGAATGGAAAACAATGTGTGATAATGTGTTACAATACTGGTGACTGCTTCTTCTTTTATTTTTATTTTATTTTTTATTTTTTGAGACAGGGTCTCACTCTGTCACCCAGGCTGGGGTGCAGTTGTGCAGTCATGGCTCACTGCAGCCTCAACCTCCTGGATTTAAGTGATCCTCCCACCTCAGCCTCCCAGGTAGTTGGGACCTCAGGTGCATGCCACTGCACCCAGTTTACCATTTTAAATTTAATCATCTGGCCGGCCGCAGTGGCTCATGCCTGTAATCTCAGCACTTTGGGAGGCCAAGGCAGGTGGATCACCTGAGGTCAGGAGTTCAAGACCAGCCTGGCCAACATGGTAAAACCCTGTCTCTACTAAAAATACAAAAAATTAACCAGGTGGGATGGTGGGTGCCTGTAATCCCATCTACTCCAGAGGCTGAGGCAGGAGAAACGCTTGAAGCCAGGAGGCGGAGGTTGCAGTGAGCCAAGATCACGCCACTGCACCCCAGCCTGGGCAACAAGAGTGAGACTCCATCACACACACACACACACACACACACACACACACACACACACACATCATTGGAGCTATTCTGTAGAGATAGTAGTATTGCCTTCTGTTTCTAGAGGGGGAAATTGAGGCTCTGAGAAGTTATATAACTTACCCAACATCACATAGCTAATATGTGGCATTGTTAGTCTAGGAATGCAGGGCTATCTGATGTCAGAGCCCATGCTTTTAACTACCTGAGTTTCCCCAGCAAGCCAGCCTCTCAGCGGGGCTTGGACTACAAGTGACAGTGTTTGTTACATCTAAGTCAAATTCTCTCTCTACTAGGGGCCTTTCAGGCTAATGTGTCTTAGAAAGCTTCCCAGGTTGTAGCAAGACTAAATGAGCTTTTAAAAAGACTTTTTAATTGCTAATGGAGCATATGGTGCATAATGGTTAATGATATGCAGTTTCCGGAGCTTTCTGCCTGGGTTCTAGTGCCAGTCCCACCACTGAACCTGCTGTTGACCTTGTGCAAGTTACTTCACCCCTGGGTGAGTCAGTGTCTTCATTATAGGAGAGAAAAACGGAAAAGGTCCCACCTCATAGGGTTATGAGGCTTAAATGAGCTTAGCATTTGCCTGGCGTGTACAAAACGACGTATGTTTTTGTTAAATAAAATAAGTTCTTCGGTTTTATTCTGCAATTCACACTTAATAGTATATCATTATTAAATTAAAAAAAAAGGAAAAGAAAAACATTAACTAGCAGGTCTTCCTTTAAAACTAAATAAGCTCTGCTGCTAGACAGGACCCTGCTTTTGTCTCAGGAAACACTGAATTTCAGGCTGCCTTTGAGAGGTTTTGTTCCAAGGCAGACCCTTTTCACCTGACTTGGGAAGGGCAGTTCACTTTGCCTGTCGGAGAGCCTATGGGTCAGTTCCAGGAAGAATTCCAGGAATTCTGGGAAATGGCTGGAAGGCATTGACATGGGGTTGGAGCTGTGTGTAAGGCCCTGTAGGCAGCAGTGTTCCAATTGTGCACTTTTGATGTTGCACAAAGGATTGAAATCTAGACTCAGTCAAACATAATGAATTAACTGCTTTGTGGGATACCATGGCTTTTTGACATTTCTTTGGTAATTTTGAACAAAATAACTTCTGAGGTGATTACATAAGGAAAGCAATGCCTTTCGTGCTTTTGAAGAGTGTTTTCCTTTGTTGAGCTGAATGTGTATATTTAAGGGGGAAGAGCAGTTTCGTGCATTGTTTTGGCCGTGTGTAGCATGCAGGCTGCTGGTGATGGGAATTGAGCAGATTAAAGTCAATGTTTGGTTTTGTGATAATATCTTGATGATCTATTCCTGGTGATATTTTCTGGGCTTTTGTTTTCTAGAAATTAATTGGTTTAAAAATGGCCATTATCCATAAAAGAATTTATTTTGTATATGAACATGGGCCAAACCATTTTCTCCTTCTTATCTATGGAAAATAGTCAGCTTTAAGGAGCCGGTATTTTAAAGGCATTTTGTATGAATATAGAAAAACAGCATTAAAGAGGCTTTTGAGTCACTCTTTTCCAACAAATGTAAATTTTAATATTTATATGTTAGGCAAATGTGTCATTAAAAGAAAGTAGGCATCCATCTAGCTGATGTATTGCTGACTCTGGCTGCTAAGTGAAGCTCACACAGTCCTCTGCAAATGTGGGTACAGGGGATGGATGGGTATTAAGATGCCAAACGTGCTGTTCATGCTGAATTGTTTTCTAACCAGCCCATGGTACTTCTCTGCTATTTTTTTATCTTTTTCTTTGTCTGATACTCCCCTCAATTTTACATTACTTTCCTGCTCTCTTTTCACGGTCCTGTTGCTTTGGTTCTTCATTTCTAGAATACTCTCTTCATTTCTAGAAGGAAATCTGTGGTCAGAATTTATGCTCTTCTACAGTAAAATGGTAAATGGTGTGCCTAGGAGTAGCATTTTCTTCAAATTCATATGGCTAGATTTTATTACCTAAAATCTGAGATGTACTAATTAGGGAACAAAGAATTTTAATCAAAAATCTAGTTGTCAGAAAACTCTAGGTTTGTTAAAATATATATATGTAAATATAGGTACAGATATATCATACAGACTTTGGAGTATCTTAACATTGAGATTGTTTTATACAAGTCAGATCAGCACATAGGAGGAGTCACAACTGTCATTGATCATAATTTATGACCCTTTCTAGACTTTCTGAATGTTGTTATAGAAAGAAATGTCTTATATTGAGCTTGATTCTTTAACATCATAGAAATTCATTCAGAAAAGTTTGATGAATAACAGAAGAAATCTTTATTCACTGGCCCAAAGCTTAGTTTATATTCTGTGCTGTTATAACATCTATATGTGTGTCTATATTAGTACTATCAGCTCTCTGTGGCAAAAAGAGGCTCTTTAAAGATGGAAACTATTATAATAAAACTTCGTATTTTTACAAAATACCTCAAATTGGTAGCATTCAAAATGAATTCATGTTGGTTAATAATGAGGTGTACATTTTGCTGTGTAAGTGAATAGATCATCATATTACCCCAAGAGGTGATTTTTACATCTATATCAACAGTGTTTCTTGAGATTGAGGAATTGTGAAAAGGATTTTAGTAGAAGGGTGGCAATTTGCAGCAGATGTGTATCTGCACCTCTGGTATCACTGGTTGTAATTGAACAATAAAAATGTTGCAACCGTCTGGGTAGCAAGATGGCTAAGGTCGGCTCTTGCCTGTGATAGTAAGAATGGAGGAGATTTGTTTGACGTCATAGACTCTGGATTATAAGAAGGAGACATGTCAAGCAGTAACTACGTGGCATGTGGCTGTGATGCGTCTACAGCCAACCTCCTGGTGTGGCCTTCCCAAAGACAAGGAAGCGTCCCATTCAAGTGTGTCTCAGTGCTTGCATGACACAGTGCCTCTGGATTTTACGTCAGTTCTGCCTTCAGTGTAAAGCCCTGATTTTCATAGATAACCTAATCTGTAGGGAAAAAGAACATTAAAAAAAAAAAAGTATAGCCACAAAAGTTCTTTCCACTCATGTGTGGATCTTTCCAGTTTTTTCAGACAGAAACCAAATGACAGCCTCACAGTCACAGAATCTTCCAACACTGAAAGTTAAAGCTGATTTCTTCTTCATGGAGAAAAGCTTACAAACCTTTTCAGACTACTTCTTTAGTGTCAATTCTTGGAACCACATCTTCTTCCTGATTTAAATGTTTGGCTGTGTACCTCCAGCTAGAGCTATTAGAGTTTTTGCTGATTTGCTTGGCATATCTCCAGCAAAATAGTCCATTAAAATTCAAATCCTTTCCCAATAATTGAGACAATCAATTTACATTAAACAAGGCACAAATATAATTTTATGTACAATTTAAATTCTATAGAAAATAATCAGTATGCAATAAAGAGGGACACTTATTTTGATGCAAAGAGATGTTTTTCTAGTCTGCATTAAACAAATCTTTCATATTTTCAAAATAGTTCCCTCATTATCTTTGTGTAGAGGAGCTCTATTGTGTTTTATTTTGATGTAGGAACAAGTGTGTGTCCATGGCTGCATGTTTGATAAGCAGTGTAACTTTCTCTCAGTGACATGTAAAGGGAAAGGTTTGAGATAGAATAAGGAAAGTATTTGCTTGCTATTTAACTTGGAACAATTCATACAAAAAGGGCGAAGAAGATGCATGGGGAATTTATTGCCTTTGTACCAGTGTTAGTGAAATGGGCATTGTTTGTTCATCTTCACCTGTTTATGATACACCAGGTGGTTGTTGCTCTGCCAGAGGTTGTGTGTTAGGTCCTAGGCAAATCACTCAATGGGACTTGGGAAGGTTGCATAGGATGGGGGCCATGTGCACACACATAATTGTGTGCCTTAGTGCAGAAGAGTTCCTGGGAAAGTTTTAAAGCCCCAGCAGGTAACCTCGCAAGGCAGCTAGACCCCACCAGTGTGCCTGAATCCTCCACAGTTCTCATTTGTAAGCTCTTAATGAGACTGGTATTGTCGGTCAGGAAATCTAGAACACTGGAGAAATATTATTAGGAAGAATATAGTAAAAATAATGACAAGATCGAAAACAAATCCTGTCAGAGCCCAAGAATAAATTTGGCTTCCGCTTGCTGTGTCTGTCTGTTTCCATAATGGTCCAGAATAGAAACCGGATGTTTAAAATCTCTCTCCTTTTCACATGCTCTCCTCCCCTCCTGTCTTCCTTCCTCTTCAGTATTAGTAGACTTACTATTTTTATTATTTTTTATTTATATTCCTAGTTTTCAATATTTGCCATTTGTGTGGATAACACATTAATTTTTAATGAAATATTTTCAGACTCTTGGAACTCTTGGAATAGCTGAATCATAAAAGAAAACTTGAAATTGATATAGACTCCAAGGCAGCACACAAACTGAAAATTACGCTTGTTTTTATTCTTCCCACTGACAAATGACAAATGGTTATTTGAAAGGATCATGTGTACTTAGATTTAAACTTCTTATGTTTCTATATGAGCCTAGTTTGTATAATTTTTGTGGCACAGAAGGTAATTCAGACACCATTTTAATTAATAATTAAAATGAAAGAAGCAGCAAAACAATATGTGAGGTAGTGAGCTCCAGTAATTTTCTTTTTATCTAGAAATACTTATTT
This sequence comes from Homo sapiens, assembly GCF_000001405.40. NCBI lineage: Eukaryota > Metazoa > Chordata > Mammalia > Primates > Hominidae > Homo > Homo sapiens. The sequence goes on from NC_000001.11 coordinate 243,444,262, forward strand.
TTGACAAGCCACATTGCTAGTAAAGGAATTCAAGTGTGATTTAGATTACGTCATAGGCTTAACTTTATTTTAGTTCTGTTGCGGCACTAAAGTTTTTTTGTTTGTTTGTTTGTTTTGTTTTTTTTTTTGGGATGGAGTCTCGCTCTGTTGCCCAGGCTGGAGTGCGGTGGTGTGATCTTGGCTCACTGCAACCTTCACCTCCCGGGTTCAAGTGAGTCTTCTACCTCAGCCCCCTGAGTAGCTGGGACTACAGGCACATGCTGCCATGCCCAGCTGATTTTTTCTATTTTAGCAGAGATGGGGTTTCACCATGTTGCCCAGGCTGGTCTCAGGCTGGTCTCAAACTCCTGAGCTCAGGCAGTCCGCCTGCCTCAGCCTCCCAAAATGCTAGGATTACAGGCGTGAGCCACTGCGCCTGGCCAGATCTAAAGATCTGAAAGAAAGTGGCATTTGTTTCTTTGGGTAATTTATTTCCACCAATCAATAATTGTTGTTAGTGAAATTAAAGTTAATACTGAATATTATTTAATTTTATACTGCATGGTATTCTCAGAAATGCAACTTTGTAATCCACTTTGGAACTGTAAATTAATAAGAATAGTTTCTTCTAAAAGTTTGTTTTTTGTTATAGATAGCATGGACATTTAAGATATAACATCTTTTAGATCTTTTCTTATTCTCAAATTATAAGGATATCAATTTCTATTTTATGTTGGCAACTTAAATCTTATTTTAATCATTTATATATGTGGTTACTTTTATATTTTCTTCTTTTAAATTAAAATTCCTAAAAAAGTCTACTTATCTCAAGTAAATTTACTTATTCTCACATTAATAACAAACATATTTTTCCAAATATTATTTTCTAATGTATTTCTAAAGACTAATAAATTTTTAAGGAGCTCTGCCTGTCTTATATGACCCGAGTTATGTAGAATGGCATTTTATAGAATCAGAAGAGGCCTGAAAGATTATCTAGTCCAACTTCACCTCTTGTCGTCTACTCCCACCCTCCATTCCCATCCCCATCCCCAGCACCACATTTTATAGATAAGAAAACGGAAGCCCAAAGAATACAAGTAATGACTCGAATCCGTTTTCTGACATCAGGTCTAGTGTTTTCTACTGTACCCACTCAATAACTTATATGCTTCCAGAAATAGGGAGGTGGACTAGTACTAATGATGAAAAGGAAAATATACAATGGACATAAATAATCAGATGTTTACCAGAAGCTATTTTGTCCAGTGACCTTGAGACCAGAAGTTGGATGGTTAATTGGAAGGTCAAAAAATACATGACAGGTGATGGATATGTGGGGCTGAGGCATATTTTTTGTGTGTAAGGATCACCTGATTTGGCATGCCATGTCATTTGCCCTGGATAAACAACACCCAAAATACATCTTTTATTGCACCCAATTTTGATTTCTCCAAACTAAGTGAGGACATAAAGACACTTGGGAAACAGCCTTCATGCAGAATTTGCTATTTTAATGGCCCTTGCCCACCAAATCTTTTACATTTATTTCAGGCACACCTAATTGGACAAACTTTTTGTGTTGGGGGGTGGAAATTCAGCTTTGTTGAATGCTTCTAAATCACTCCACTGCGTTTTCATAGAATCAGCAACTCTTTTTTTAACAATCATACTTCTGAATTCAGCAAACATGGAATTACGTTTATGTAAGCAGCACACACAGGCTTGGGAAGAAACATGGCTGACTTTAGGAAGTAGAGCACAACTGTTGGGAGCACAAGCGCCCATTTGTGCTGGTGAGTAGCAGTCATTGGCCATAGCACTGAGTGTGCCGTGGACATCATTCATGTGTTTGACAGAGGGAAAAGGAAAGGGTTAGTTGTTGGGTGATCAGGGTAAGTGGTGCTCCATTTAGAGAGCTTCTACTGTACTTTGGAAGGAACTACCTGAGTCAGACAAGTAAAGATGTATAACATAATAACTGGTTAAGAAGAATGTGCATTGCATTCTCCATGCACTATCTTTCCTCCTTCTTTTTTTAAGACAGGGTCTCACTGTCTTTCTTGCCCAGGCTAGAGTGCAGTGGCACTATCACTGCTTACTGTAGCCTCAACATCCTGGGATAAATTGATCCTTCCACCTCAGCCTCCCGAGTAGCTGGGACTACAGGCATGCACCACCATGCCGGCTAATTTTTGTATGTTTTATAGACACAAGGTCTCACTTTGTTGCCCAGGCTGGTCTCGAACTCCTGGGCTCAAGCCATCTGCCCACCTTGGCCTCCCATTGGGATTATAGGCATGAGCCACTGCACCTGACCAATTTTTTTCTTTGTGTCAGAGAAAGGCCAACTTGGAGGCAGAAGAAAGGGAACTTTATCTGTTTCCTTTCTGCTTTCTCTGTTCCTGGCTTAAGAACATCAGCCTCACCCCACCCAGAAGCTGGGCCAGTGGAGCTTTTATATACTGAGCAAACCATCCATAGCTACTTGGCAATAAAAGCATCGGCCACTGTTCAGCCTGGAGAATATACCTCATGTACAGGTTTTCAGGTGACCTGCTGCCCAGTTGGGGCTGCTTGGGGCTGCAGCCAGGCTTTCTCGGATGGGGACCTGATTGACTCCTTGCATAAAAGTCATGGAAGGACTACTTTCTTAGGAGACTGTATGGCTGAAAATACAAATAGCTTCAAATGGGTTTAGGAAACTCTTGGATTAAGAACCCATGCTTGGCCGGGCACGGTGTCTCACGCCTGTAATCCCAGCACTTTGGGAGGCTGAGGCGGGCAGATCACCTGAGTTCAGGAGTTCAAGACCAGCCTGGCCAACATGGCGAACCCCTGTCTCTACTAAAAATACAAAAATTAGCCAGGCACAGTGGCCGTGTCTGTAATCCCAGCTACTCCAGAGGCTGACAGGAGAGTCACTTGAATTCAGGAGGCAGAGGTTGCAGTGAGCCGAGATCGCGCCACGGCACTCCAGCCTGGGTGACAGAACAAGACTTCGTCTCAAAAAAAAAAAAAAAAAAAAAAAAAAAACCATGCCTCATTCTTAAAAGGCATTATGAATGTATTAAGTCTCATCGCTAAATGAGGAATGAACAAATCAATAGGTAATGAACAACTATTCTCTCTCTAAATTGGGTGAATATAATCCTTCCACTTTTCCTTTTATTTTGGGGGAGGAAGGGGATCTGAGCATCCATTCTATTTTTCTTCCTTAATTAGGTCTTAGTATCTATCAAGATGGTGATTATAGTGTGTGTGTGCCTGCGCACGCACACACACACTATCTTACATAACTGCCTGTTTACTCCTTTGCTACACTGTGACTCAAAGGGGTGGGGCAGCACTTTTGCAAATGTGTTTTACAGACAATCCGTCCTTCACAGATAGTCTTTGAAAAAAAGGTTTGCATGATATCTTAGTTTTGGAACATACTGCATAAACTATGTACTTTTTAGAGAGTCAGAATGTACATTAGGATATTAAAAGCATTGATAAGTCTTCAGAATTATTAACCATTTTTAAAATTTAAGTTATAGTTCAAATAATATAAATAAAAATATTTGTAAACATTTAAAACTTTACAAAGAAGGGTAAGGGGATATGGTGTGAAGAGCTACAAACTTCCCTGTGGGGTGGTTCTTGGAGACATGTCACCAAACTAAGCATGTAAATGGCTTCCTGTGGCATTTCTTAGAGGAGCTAAATAGTTTCTGCGTGGCTTTGTGATCATCTTTCACCCTTCCTGTCCCAACCGTGGCTTTTATTTTGGCTTTATTTCCCTTATAGCATAGTGTGCAGCAGGATTCCCGAGTCCTTGCTTCCTAACTCATGGGTTGGGAGAGCTGCTCATGGCTGTAGCTGCTGCAGGCACCCGCATTGCTGAACAATGGGAGGTGTCATCCACAGGTGAAGCTTGAGGTGTGGTTCATCCAGGCTTCTGGGACCTTGTCAAGGCATAGATTTAGACAGAAACAGGTCCTCCAGGGCTTGGTTATGTCCATTACTAAATCTGGCTGTAGCAAACAAGGAGAGTAAACATCTTTTCTTTATAGTTCATGAGCTCTGAAAAGGGATTTTCTGTTGTTCCGTTCTTCTCAGGAATCTAGAATCAAGTGTGAATAAAAGTAGAGAGGTGGTTGGTGTTTGTTCATGTATTTATTTTATTTATAGTTCTTTCACTCTACATACATACATTCTTCAGATATGTATTGTGTTCTAACAATGGTAACAGGGGCCTGTGGTAGGCTTTGGGGTTGAAAAGATGTGTAAGACTTAACCCTTGTCTCTCAGAATTCACAGTCCGGGTGCTCGTGCCTGAAAGACCTTTTCCTCCCCTGCCTAGAGACCTCTTATTTCCCAAGACACAGGTCAGCCATCATCTCCAGTACAGGCTTCCTTAATGCCACTCTCTGTGTTACTCAGCACTTCGTTCAGACAGCAGTTTGCTCAAATGTACAGGACATTATAATTATTCTTTGACTGTCCAACTTGTTTAGACTGTGACTCCTTAAGGACAGAAACCATACTCTGGTCATCTTTGTATCTCTTGCCTATAGTTCAGATCCTGGCCCTTAGAAGGCATTTACTAAATGAATTTGTAGTCCTTTTTATCTTCTTTTTAAAAATCATCATATTTTATCATCCTTTTTATCTCCTAAAATTGTAGAAGGGTAAAAATGAGACAAAAGCAGAACTTGATGTGTATGTGCAACATTTAAAAAATATTTTATAACCTCTCATGTATATCTTCATGTTTGGAAAACCTACTCACTATATGTGTGTCTAATTACTATTATGAAGTAATAAAAATCTATAGTTTTATTGTATAATGATGCACATCCAGTGGACACTCAGTAAGTGTTAATCACACTATTAAATATGCTTTGATCTCATTATAACTGGAGTGGCTGCCTGGCTCTACTTAGGCTATTTAACAACTCATTGTGTTATTAGTTGATCCTTATTTTTCAAGGTTTGTAGGTCATGCTTAATGGAGCGACTTGCTAAGGTTGTTAGCAGTTACATAAATGACTCTGACTTTACAAATTTTATGATAACCATTTGGAATGAATTATATATTTTCCAAGCTTTTGGTTCCCCCAGTGGCTGATACATTAAAGAATAATTGGTAAGTTGCAAAATTTGTGACAGTTTTGTTTTTAAAAAATCAGCTAAATTTGGCTTTTTACATATTGCTAGTGATTTCTGTATCATAGATGAAGGAGATAGCATAGACTTGAGGCTGGGAAACACGTTTCTTCTTTCACATAGCCAGGCAGAACAGCCCTTGGAAGACGATCCTTGGAAACACATTATCATTTCTTGTTCAAACCAAATATACTTAACTTCTGTATCTCTTCCACTTTAAAATCATTATTTTTGTGACCGACGTCTGGAAGTGCCCCAGTTTTTCCACATGGCCCTTAACACATAGTGTTAGTGTTGCATTTCGTAGTTCTCATTTTGAATTATGCCTCTGTGTTCACTAGCAGGGTTACCTCCTGTTAGGCCCGACTGGACCATGGAGTCCTGGGCTCCTTTTGGCCTTTTGCCTAGAGTAGGGAGGCCTCAGTGACTGCAAATGTGGCAACTCGGGCAGTCCCTTGGCCCTTTCCCCTTAGGTCCACACTCCCATCTTGGGATTCTGTCTTTTCCACTTCAATAAATGGCTCCAAGGAAGAGCTTGAAAACGTATTTGGATCTGATTGCCAAATTTCTCACCAGAACTATTCTTTCAGGGTGGGATTTTTGAGGTTGGGTAGGGGCAGGGTTAAAAACATGAGCTTTCTCTAGAGGCCAACATTCCCTGATTCTAGGCAGTTAGTCAGACCTTGTTCCTATGGTAGACGTCTCTGTTTTCCAGCACTTAGAGCACTGTATTCATGGCCTTCGATGTCCTTCTCTCCTCATTAGATTGTGAGGTCTTCAATGTGAACCATGTGTTATCAATCTCTGAAGTCCCAGTGTATGGAAGTGTATTGAATTAATGAATGATTCTCTAGGAACTGACATTGTTTTCATTTAAAAGTTGTTAGGTAATGGTTAGGATTAATATAGGCTGATTCCATATGTGTCCTCAGTTCTTTCCACCACACCATTAGGGTTTGAACTCCCCTGGCTTCATTAGCTATTTTGCAACTCCTTTAAGCTGCTGTATAGTTTGGTTCATTTGAAACAGAAAACCAGCGAAAAATACAAAGGTGATTGAATACCTATTACATGATAGGAATTCTGCAGACCTTGGAGATATGGAAGATAAATCAATCACTGACTTCCAGGGATTCTTGTCTCGTGGGAAAGCATGTATTCTAGCGTTGCTAGCCCCTGTTTTAGTAGAGATATGAGTGGACAGCATAGGGTATGTATAACCTGTTTATTTTTGTTTGTTTGTTTTGTTATATAACCTGGTTTTGTTTGTTTGTTTGTTTTGAGACAGAGTCTTGCTCTGTTGCCCAGGCTGGGAGTACAGTGGTGCCATCTCAGCTCACTGCAACCTCTGCCTCTCGGGTTCAAGCAATTCTGCTGCCTCAGCCTCCCAAGTAGCTGGGATTATAGGTGTGCGCCACCACGCCCGGCTAATATTTGTATTTTTAGTAGAGACGGGGTTTCACCATGTTGGCCAGGCTGGTCTTGAACTCCTGACCTCAGGTGATCCTTCCGCCTCGGCCTCCCAAAATCCTGGGATTACAGGCGTTAGGATTAATATAGCATTTAATTCTAAAATGCTGCTAAAATCACTTGTTGAAAAAGAAGTGTTTATTGATATGACAAAATGTTCAAAATATATCCCCTAAGGGGAAATAGGGTAAAAGTAGTATACATTATTTCATCTTTTGCATACACAGAAGGTATATAGTTATAGATCTATAGATGGATATGTACTGCAAATGTCACATCTTCTTCATACTCTAGCTTGTGTATCTCACACATGTAGACTCAAATTTTGCCCCATGTCAGTTTGTACATAGAGCTCAGCATCTCCTTGAGTTTCCCTAAAGATTTCATAGGCACAAATGTACTGCTGATCAGCATGGATTTTACTGAAGATATTGTAAGATGGAAAACATTCATGCCATACCTCCCTTAGAAACAACATAACAATCTCCATTAATACTTAGTTCTCCCCTCCATAATCCTTTCCTGGGTGCATTCCCAACTTGGAACTTTTTTTTGTCCTATCTCCCGCTTTCCTTAACCCTATAACTTTCTAATTCTTTGCCTTCTCATATTTCTAGGAGCCAAACATTCTTCACCCCCTTCTATTATGCAGAACCATCCAGTTCTGCCACAACTCTTGTCTTAAATGGACATATTCAGAGTAGCCTGCTTCTTGAGTAAGCACACATTGTACACACATGCATACAGACACTTACGTATATATACTAAAGGAAATTTAAGCCAGGCCCGATGGCTCATGCCTGTAATCCCAGCACTTTGGAGGCCAAGTTGGGTGGCTCACTTGAGCTCACAAGTTCGAGATCAGCCTAGACAACATAGAGAAACCCCGTCTCTACAAAAAAAGAAATACAAAAACCAGCCAGGCTTGGTGGTGCGTGCCTGTAATCCCAGCTACTCAGAAGGCTGAGGTGGGAGGATCGTTTGAGCCCAGGAGGCAGAGGTTGCCGTGAGCTGAGATCACGCCACTGCACTCCAGCCTGGGCAGTAGAGCCAGACTTTGTCTCAAAAAATAAAATAAAAAGTTGATTGCGGCCTGCTAAAGTAATTTTGTGACCCACTAAAGGGTCATGACCCACAGTTAAAAAACCCTTCCATCAAAGGCCCTTTGACAACCACACAGCTGCTGAATAAAATTGTGTCCCTCTTGTTACATCTCGTTACACCTGCGTGTGCATGCTCAGGCGTTTCCATGTGTGTGCACACACAGACAGACAGTAGGCCACACACCAGAAAGGAATATAGTAGTGCTCTCTGGGATTACTGGTGTGCCTTCTTCCACTGCACTTTCTGGCCATTTCTAAGTTTTCTGCACTAAGCATGTGTTAGTTGTGTAAAAGGAAATGCAAACAGTAACAGGCTCAGCTGGGGTTTTTCGTCTTCCCCTTTTTGTTACCTCCCCTAGTAACCCTTGCAAACAGAGTTAGACTCCTCTATCTCTTTCTCTGTCATACCTTTTTGACTTCTCCCTACCCTTGAGATGATCTCATCTCTTTTTTTTTTTTTTTTTTTTTTTTTTGGGACAGTATCTGGCTCTGTTACCCAAGCTGGAGTGCAGTGGTGCAGTCACAGCTTACTGCAGCCTCGAACTCCTGGCCTGTAGGGATCCTCCTCCCTCAGCTTTTTGAGTAGCTGAGACTGTTAAGTGTGCACTATCACACCTGGCTATATATATATGTATATATTTTAGAAATGGGGTCCCACTGTGTTGCCCAGGTTGGTTTTGAACTCCTAGACTCAAGTGATCCTCCTGCCTCACCCTTCCAAAGTGCTGGGATTATAGGTGTGAACCACCGTGCCCAGCCTGCAATGAGATTCTTACACTGAAATGCATAGATGGGCTGTGAACCTTCATAAAATTTATATAAAACTTAATGTTTACTTATTTCTTTTCTGAGAAGCAGATCCAATTATTCTGTGAGGGCTTCTGTTGTGCCAGGCAAGGTTCTAGGTCTGATCCTTTAGCAGCCTCTCAAAACGTTGAAGAACTGAGTGACTCTTCTTACTCTGTTGTTTTCCTTCTCTGAACTGTGAGTGCCACGAGGCAAGGACTTCATCCGTCTTGTTCATCACTGATTTCCTGCTGCCTAGAACAGTGCCTGGAACATAGTAGGCACTCAAAAAGTGTAGTGTTCTGAATGATTAGGCATTGTGAAGTAGAAAATACATTTATCTTATGACTCTCCTTTTCCGGAGTTGATGAGATATCATGATGTTATTGGAGGGTGCAGGAGGTGATCAACAGTATTCTAGGACTTTGGGAATTCAGACTGGGGATCACAAAATTTGGAGCAGGTTTCGCTTGGCACTCAGGTGGGCATCTGTCTCCATCCCACCGGCTGTACTCTGCAGTGGCTGGTAAATTACACTCTTCTTGGTGGGCTTGAGGCCCCAGCCCAAGACTGCAGGGTCAATGCAACATAAAAGTCCAGGTCTCCTGACTCGGAGTACAGACTATGGCAGCACTCCTGAGCTTGACTTTCCCTGGGCTTCATTTAATATGGTTCATTTTGTTTTTGAAGGTAGTTTGTGCCATAGAAACCAGACAGGGTGTTGTTTAAATAGTAGGCTGATGTCTCAATGTAACATATTGGCCCACTGAGCTCTACAAGAGTGTGAATCACAAACCCGCCTCTGTACATTTCTGATACAGTGTGAATGTTCTGGATGTAAGAAAATCCTGTTAAGAATGATCAGGTTATCTCATTTTGCCATCAATCGTATTTTGAAATGTTCGGTTGATAGAATAACTGCTCTTCCTGGCTAAATAGATTCTCTCAACTCCAGCAAAATATTTTTAAAATCAGGTAATTCAGCCAGTAATCCAAATTTTATTTGGTTTATTTTCTTCAGACTGTATATATAATACCAGGACTGAGTGTTTAAAGTTCAGCTCAGTGTGTAGTATTCCTGTGATAATTTCAGCACATAAAATAAGATGTTTACAAAAGCCAACCTGAGACCTATATTCTCCAGCAGTTTAGCAGCAAATTCCTACTCTGGGTATATAACAATAATTGGGATCTTTCTATTGGCTTTACATAAACTCAGATTAGTAGTAAAATCTAAGTACCATCCCATTTGGCAAACTCTTAACTTCAAGCAGTCACAAATTTGCTTCTGATTGTGCTTTTCATTCGCACCTAGCTCAGATTTTTGCCTGATGCTTTTTTAAATCCTCTAATTTACATACTGTGGTAAATTTAAAATGAGAACAGATGAATGCTGCTAAACTTTTCTATTTCACTGATGAATATGGTATTTTGCTTTAACTATCTAGCTGTTATATATTCAATGACCTTTAAAACATGAAAAAGATACTTCTTTTCATATATACCGTGCAAGATGAATTATTAGTATTGTCTTCCTTTGAAACTATGAAACTGAGACACAGAGGCCAAGCAGAGCATCTGGGAACTGATTTCCACAGGCCTAAAATCAGAGTTTCCTCTTCCCGGGACTCATACCCCTTCAGCCAGGCAGAGAGGCCTGGTTCGCTCACGTTTGGTTATCTTGGAACTGTGGGAGGTAATGCATCCACTCGGAATGCACTTCTTTCCTTACCCCACAGCCCCCGTGCACCACAGCCTACATCACTGTACCCGTTTGGGCATGTCGGAACAAGCACGAGTAAGGGAAGAGGTCGCCGTTTTTGAGTGGCTAATAGGAATCTGCTCCAGCTAAGCATATGTTATCTCACATATTGTGGTTAATAATAATAATAACCGTGTTCTCCAAAGGAGCCAAAGGAGAGTTGGAGAAGTTACATTATTCAACAACTGAGATGTCTAAAGCCTGTGCTCCTGTACTATCTTCTGTTTGTCCCTGTTATCTTGTTTAGTGAGCAGCATAGCATTTTGCAAGAGTGGACCGTTCACCTGGTCAGGATTTCAGTCAGCATGACAGATGCACCCTCCACTGTGGTCGGTGTCTGGGGTAACCAGAGAAAACTTCCCAGATACGGTAGAAATAAACTTCCCAGATACGGTGGGAATAAGCTTCCCAGATACGGTGGAAATAAACTGCTTGACAAAATGAATAGATCCACCATGACGTAATTTTCTAACTGTTCATTTGTTTTCAATAACCAAAAGCAATATTAATTTTGAAATTATATACACTACTTATGATTAAAATGCTGTAATTCATAAGACAAGGAAAATCTAGGGCACATTTTAAAAGAAAAGTTTAATTTTGAAAGGAGGAAATCTATTTCAGAATGAAGAAATGAAAACTTTTGAAAGCTTTAACAAAAAATTCCTAGGGAATTTTGAAGTTTTATTTTGCCCTAACATGAAAAAGTAGGCCAGTTGCTAAACGTTAATTGCTTTACTTCCATCTATCTTTATTTTTGTTTTTATTTTTTGAGATGGAATCTCGCTGTGTTGCCCAGGCTAGGGTGCAGTGGTGCTATGTCAGCTCACTGCAACCTCCATCTCCTGGGTTCAAGCAATTCTCCTGCCTCAGCCTCCCAAGTAGCTGGGATTACAGGTGTCGGCTACCATGCCCAACTAATTTTTGTATTTTTAATAGAGTTGGGTTTCACCATGTTGGCCAGGCTGGTCTCGATCTCCTCACCCCAAGTGATCTGCCTGCCTTGGCCTCCCAAAGTGCAGGGATTACAGGCGAGAGCCACCGCACCTAGCCTATTTCCATCTATCTTGATCACACTTGATCATGTTGAGAGACTAGAGGCTCTGAAATTTAATAAATGACCTAATTCAAAATATCTTACTCCAAATCCAGCTTGATAGAAAGCCAAACTGTTGTCAGTATATCTCACTTTAAGCAAACCCAACATATTAAATCCATATTTACAAAATGGATTAGTTAAGTAGTCATTCTTCACTTAGCAACATAATTCATTATAGTAAGTTCCCCTTGTAATGCATATAAACGTGATTTACTTTATTAGAACCCTCTGTGTGTGCCACATTTCAAGTGCAAAGTACATTTGATAATGTTACTCAACAAATTATTTTCTCATTTGTCCAAATATTTGGTTGGGCATCGCTGTGGCCCCTAAGGAAACAAACAAGTGGGTCAGAATGGCCTCTGGACCGAAGGGATGCGTGTTGCAGGAGCAAGGACTGTTGGCGTGGGCTGATCGCTGGTCTACAGGCTGTGGGAGCTCAGAGCATGGACCCAGTCAGTTCAGTCTCCATCATCCTAGTTTTCTGGATCTTCCAACTCCTTATTCATCGAATGAACCGGGAGCATGCAGAATTTATCTTGGTGGAAAGCCTTTCTCCTCAGTTTTCTCTCCCTGTTTTGGTTTACTGAACAGGAAAGCCTGACATAATTAGGTCTGAGAAGAGTCATCGGGTTCTGCTCTCATCCTTGAGCCTGCCCTGGTTGGTAGGGAAATTCACTTATTAATTCTGTGGCTGGCTTTGGGTCATGCAGATGACCCAGGGTCACTGGGCTTTTCAGGTTATCAAAAGCTAAATGACGTGGGACACTTCTGGGGATTAGTTTAACGAAGCTGTACAAATATAGTCAGATGACAAATTTGGAGATGTAGTGGCAGAGTAAATAGTATTTTTAAAAAATGCATGCCTCTGAATGTAATAGTAAACCTGTATGAGAGGCTCTGCTTAGAGAGAAATTAGAGTGAGCTATTAGCTGTGCCTATATGTTTATTTTCATATAAATACATCAAGAAAGCTAGATTTTTTGCTTTTATTTTTATACCAATATGCCTAGGTTAAAGTGGGTCATTCCCAGCATTTAAAAAGGGGGTAGAGGGAGGGCAATTGGCTTGGTTTTGGTAAAGGGGTAGGGGATTATTTTTTATTTTATTGTATTTAGGGGGCAATCTTCCATCTTTATCTCTTCGTTCTTGTGCTTTTCCTGGACCATGTATTCTGATCATATTTAACTTTCTATTGTAGAATTGGGATGGAAGACCTAGAGTTCAGCTTGAA